>NC_000012.12:29222381-29375077 GCF_000001405.40 Homo sapiens
ATAGGGGTCAAGACTATTGCACTAGGGGAGAGAGAGTGAATTCAACTCCAAATACAAATAGGGACAAGTGGGGATTTAGAGTAGGAGAGAAAATGGACAGTTACTATGAGGAACTTGCTTAAGGTATCAAGGAAGGGGGTAGGAGGAGAGGAATTCTCCTCACTCTTGATATCTAGAGTGATATTTTACCTGTTTCTTTTTCTTCATCTGGATTCTTCATGGGACACCTTGATATCACTCTAGATATCAAGAGTGAGGAGAATTCTCAATAAACTGGCTTAATAGGATTCTTTGCTAAAGCAGGGTTCAGGAGGTCAATGTCAAGGCTTAGTTCAGAAGAGGAGCCTGACTAAAGTTGGGTCAAAGAGGAAGTCTTTGTCTTTGTTAATCTTTCAAATTTGAATTCACCCACTAATAAGGACCAATTTAGAATGCTATATGTACTTTACAAGTTCTTTTCTAGACCTGGAAAATAAGCTCCATCATTACTCATAATGACATTATAGGTAACTGACGCCAGCTGTCTTCATAAGAACAAAATTATCTAGCAGAATTGCACACACACTGACAATTTGGTCCAAATGAATTCTAGGAAATCTGATTAAACTCAGAGGGTAATGAAAATATTTGTAGTATTTATATTGTGCTTAGTATTTGCCAGGTACTGTCCTGAATCATTTGCATGGTTTAATCTCTTAGTCCTCCCAACAGTCTATTGGGAGGTATTACTAACAGTCTGTAGGGAAGTACTATTACTAGCCCCATCCCAGGATTACAGACAGAGAAACTGAGACACATAGCAGTTTCAAAGCTTGTCTGAAGTTACTCAATTATAATATGTCAGGTTTGTGATTGGAACCTAGCACTATAACTTTTGAGATGATGTGTTTACTACAGTGCATTCCTACTTCTGTAAATCTCTTCTCCTTCCTTTCTCTGAGCAAACACATAAAACTGGGAGGTAGGTAGGAGAATTGGGATGACATTCATTTGTGGAAGTCCATATACTGTGTCATATTCTTCATCTTCAGCACTTTTAATCTCTAAAACATAGTGCAGTATTTAGCAGGTCATCAATAATTTTTGTTGTTGGGTAAATGGCTGATCGAATGAATTAACAAAAGGACTGGATACTCCATTTCTGATCACCATAGAGATAACCAAATTACGTTTCTCAAACTCTGTCATGCTGAGGGCTGCAGTGACAACATTTTAGGACTAGAACACATTACTTGGATTTCACAATACAAAGATGATTGCAGTTGTCCCTGGTAAGCTCAGCCCACAGAGCCTTTCAATTCAGCTTGGGGTGAGCTGCACTTCAGGCATGGGGATATAATAGTGTGATGAACCATTCTTCTGAAGGTTCTTCTGAAAAGCTGCTGGTCTTGGGATACTGTGAGAGCCCCTCTCATTGCTCTTTAGAAGTAATTTAAATTTTTCTGCTACATTGTCTGCTCAGCTCGTATTCTGGTCATAGAGGAACCTGAAGCCAGAGAAACTAGACAAAAAGGTAAGAGAAAACCAAGCAACAAATGCAGTCTCAGCTGTTGCTAACGTTATTCACAGGAGTGACAAACTGAATGAATCTTAGGGTGAGAGACTGGTCTTTTTACCTCATTTACACTTTTCCTTGGTCTGCACTGTAGATCAGCAGAACTCATTTATCCTAAGAAATCGATGACTAATTTTCTGTGAAGCAGAATCAAGAAATCTGGTCTACATTGGTTAAAAATAAGTACTTGGTTCACCTTGTGCTGTGAAGTCCAAGCCAAATAATTGTTGCAAGTTGTTGAAGCATTTGAGTGAAGAAAAACTGACCAAGTTCACTATGACTGCATGAAATGAAATGCTGAACTTTTTGGGGTTGAGGGGGTTGGAAGGATGGATGGAGGAAGACAGTTGTTTCCAGTCTCTGAAATTCAATTCTGCAGTAAGTTTCTGTATCACCAAGTGTCACTTTGGCATACCTCGTGCATATTTATAGTCTAAGGCTTTTCATATAGGATTCAAACATAGATTAAAGTAGCAGGGAACTTGAGAGCTCCAGGGAAGAATATGATACTTTAATTGCATTTGATCATTTTATTGAATTTGCCTAGGAAAATCAATTAAAACACAAAACTTAATTTTTGTACTTACAGCAGAGATTATACATTCCATCTTGTCCCTGACTATAGATTTTTGCCTTTTGCTTTTCATTAAATAATCAACTTCAAAGTACTCAGAAGGCCGATGGTTCTATTCTGCTGGGTATGGGCGAACTGGAACAGGGCCTTCATTCCACAAACATTTTACTTGTTTCTTTTTCTTCATCTGGCTTCTCTATGGGACATGTTCAAATTCTATACATACCAAAGCAGTGACTTATTAGACGTATGTAATGTTTTAAAAAGATAATAGTGTATTTAAATTGCAAATGGAATTACTGCAATAATATGAAATATGCATGATTATATGGAACAGTTGAAGAGTTCCCAAGTGAATATTAATTGCCTTGTATCCTTCCTTGAGGCAAAGGCATATAAAAATAACATGAATTCACAAGTAGTTAGAGCCGAGTGTAGTGACTCAGACCTGTAATCCTAACACCTTGGGAGGCCAAGACAGGTGCCTCCCACTTGAGGCCTCCAAACTTGAGGCCACAAGTTTGAGACCAGCCTTGGCAACATAGCAAGATGCCATCTCTGCAAAAAGTAAAAGAATTAGCCAGGTGTGGTGGTGCACTCTCGTAGTCCTAGCTACTTGGGAGACTGAGGTGAGAGGATCACTTGAGCCTGGGAGGTCGAGGCTCCAGTGACCTGTAATGGTGCCACTGTACTCCAATCTGGGTGGCAGAGTGAGACCCTGTCTCAATAAATAAATAAATAATATGAAAAGCAGTTAGTTAACTTTGTAAATAAAGAACGTTTAGACAATTTGTTTAACTTCTTTGAGCCTCAGTTGTCTTATCTGTAATAATGAGGTCTGCCTTTTAAGATTATTGTAAAGGTTAAATGGGATAATACATGTGAAGCCCCTAGCAGAAGGCCTGGCACAAAAAGTGTTAGCTATTGTTGTTACTATTACTATATTATTATTGTTGTTGTTGTTGATCAAAGCTTACAGTTACAAGACAGTACCAATTACATAATGCTCTAAAAAATTCGCATATTTTTTTCCAGTGGGAAAATTGGATGAAGGTGCTCTGGAATAAGCTCTGTAATACTATTTCTAGTCAGAGTACACCTCAAAGAAGGATCAGAACTCATATAGAACCTAGCCTTTCCGCTGCCCTAAGACAATGGGGCAAATGCTTACTTGGAAATTCCAAAATAAACAAGCAGCGAAGGTAAATGAAGAGAATGATTTTCTGTCTCCACTGGAGCTGCCACAGCTTTGTTTATCACATTAGTGCACCTTCACAAAGCCTCACCTTTTTTCAATTTCAAAAATGATTGCAGCTTTCTTCATTTCCAAACAAAGGACTATGGTTTGGAAATAACACACATGTGAAGGTGAAAGTGCATGCTCTTTACCCTAGAGAATACTTAGCCAGAAATATCTTACTAGTTTCTTACAGGAAAGGAGACTATATGGCTCTGGAGATAGAGATCCTGGGTGACAGTTCTTGCTCTTTCTCCCAGCAATCAGATGTCAATCAGACTCGTACAAATTACTTAAGCTCTCTGCCCTGAGCATTTTTATATGTTACCTCATGGAGTTATTGTAAAGATTATATGATAAAATAATTGCATGATGTGTGGGACATTGTCTGCAACATAGTAAGTGCCCAATAAATGTTAGTGATTCTTATCTATTTTGTTGGATGATATTTGCACTGAAAAGTTAGATATCATTCCGGTTCTATTATACAGTTTAGTTTATGATTGTATTTGACTCAGAGTAAAAAAATTGTGAGCAAGGAGAATTAGAAGGCTTTCTTCTTCACACCTATAGCCCAGGCTGTGTTCTTGCTTTATTTATTAATAACATAGGATGTGAGAATTGTCTTCAAATTTGAACTCTTGTACTTTTCATTTAATAGTGAAGGCTCACAAAGCCCTGGGACAAGATCTTTGTTAATAAAGTACCTCTAAGCAGTTAAACAGCAAAAATTCATATGCAGATTTGCTCTGGGGAGAAAAAAAGGTTTAAATTATAAGAGTTTCTTTCAAACTATGGGAAACAAACTTTTTTTATGGTGGTGAATCACTTCCAAAATGAAATTCTAATACATTTGATTGAGTCTTGTGGGGTGGTCATATATTTTATAACCTTCTGCCCATCTTATCAGAGAGTTTAGATATTTAATTTTTGTACTTTTTTCATTCCACCTTGGAATCACTTTAGTCCTAGTCCCATCCTGGTTTAAAGCCTGTGTGTCTCTAAATTCCTCTAACCATGCTTTTTTGTGTGATGATATTACATGAAAAGAATTGGTATTACCCAATGTTTACCAATGTGTTACACATTTTTTGTGTGTGTAATGGTATTACACAAAAAGAATTCACCACTGAATTCTTTTAGAGCAAAACCTAGAGCCATTTGTAAGATGGTAAGCATAACCTGGTGGAGCATTACATAAAACACAATGAGAAGGAAGAAGGTGGAATATCATACTTTTAGAAGACTTGCTTTACTTAGATCTTTTAAAAAATAATGGGATTAGAAAATAAAATGTAAAACAAATGTCACTTTCCCCCTTTTTAAGGGGATTATTTGTTCTATCTTTGGGAGGAATGAGAGATTTCTTAGAGTGTGGAGATGCTCTGTTTTCCGCAGGGCACCTTACGTGCCTATAATTGTTATATTTATGATTCTGGTGTTTGTCACCAGATTTGACCCCTTTGATGCTGAGAGCTGGTAAAACATTTTATTTAAGGCATTTTGACTAGCAATTTTAAAAGAAGTTATTAGAACATTGTGAGAAAGAATTTGAGAGAAAATAGAAACATTACAATCAACATATCTGAAGCAAAACATTGTCAATATAGATAAATAATGGTTCATCCCCTATTCCTGATTCAATGGTTTCTTATTATCTCTTTGACTCCTAACAACAGGCGTTCCTCCCTTTCATCTTTCTTAGGGTCAATAACAATGAATGGGTGATTTCAGTTATGAGGAAGAAGTAGGTCCTTTTTCTTTCATAATTGCTTCTCCATCGACCAGATACTCTGTAATTTACAGTACTTGCCCCAAGGTTTCCTGCGTTATCCTTTTTGTCATTTTGCCCTGTACACAGGAATATAACAACTGATTGTCTCCAGGCAGTTTTACCTAGACAGAATTGCCTTATTAATCAATCAATTTTTCAAGAATACTGAAATAAGAGATAAGAAAATGTCGGTAAAAGCAGCATTCTCTTGACTGCAGGAAAAATTTTTTCTCCTAAGATTTTTTTTGTTGCATTTAGTTTCTTAGGGTAATTAAAGCCTTCCTTGTTTTAGACTTAACACTAGAACCAAAATACTTACCAAAAACTGCACATTTCATTGGTATACTTTGCTAAGGTAAAAAAAAAAAAATTGGCTTCCATTTTTCTCCTTTTAAGAAGTAAGTTCTAATGAGAACACTTGGACACAGGAAGGGGAACATCACACACTGGGGCCTATCGTGGGGTGGGGGTAGGTGGGGAGAGATAGCATTAGGAGATATACCTAATGTAAATGATGAGTTAATGGGTGCAGCACACCAACATGGCACATGTATACATATGTAACAAACCTGCATATTGTGCACATGTACCCTAGAACTTAGAGTATAATAAAAAAAAGGAAAAAAAAAAAAAGAAGTAGGTTCTTCAAACTTCATTATCTTTACTAATCAATTTACCTTCTCCTCAGCAAAATGTTCTAATAGTCCTACATTGCAGCCTTTGATGTTGGTTGCTTTGTTTCCAAATGAAACAAATGAACAACAACAACAAAAAGTCAGGATTTTTTATTTTACAATATTGGGGTGATACCTCTGTTTTTTCATCTGGAAAATGGCACTCTTTCTTAGAATTAAAGTCACTTTAAAGATTTAAATTTTAAACAAGTTATTATTTTAAAGTATTTTATTATTTTTAAAACTTCATTTAGAAAACTTGTCATAAGATTGATTATTTTTGTAATGATTCATTCAAATTTGCTTTCATCATATTCTGGCAGATCTTAATAATCTCTGAAGTACAGATGTCCCTTACTGACCTTCTGTATATTAGTGAAACTCAGTCTTTTTTGTGTTTGTTTGTTTTTACAGTCGAGTCTGGCTCTATCAGCCAGGTTGCAGTGCAGTGGCGCAGTCTCGACTCACTGCAGTCTCTGCCTCCTGGGTTCAAGCCATTCTCCCACCTCATACTCCTGAGTAGCTGGGACCACAGGTGCCCGCCACCATGCCTGGCTAATTTTTGTGTTTTCAGTAGAGAAAAGGTTTTGCCATGTTGGCCAGGCTGGTCTCAAACTCCTGACCTCAAGTGATCCGCTGGCCTTGCCCTCCCAAAGTGCTGGGATTACAGGCATGAGTTGCCGTGCCCAGCCAAAAATGTCTTTATCTTGAGCAGAAGAAAAACACGGAGACTTAAGGTTTTGGGGGCCTTTTTGTTTTTCATTTTCTTCACGTGCAGAAACCCAGCAATGTTCTTCCTGTAGTTACTCAGTTTTGACATTCTTTGCAGTTAGGTCAACAATGCTTGTTTTTAAAAGCATTTTAATGCAAGAAAGAGTGTATTCTAAAGCCTGTCTTCCCCGCTGAGTATGGCAAGCTGAGCTTCAATTTGCAGTTCACCTGTTGTTTGATAATTGATATATTTCTGAGTTATGGTCTCCTTTTAATTCTTCTAAGGATAAAGAAACAACATAAGATAAGGTATGAGGCTCCTGAAAGTTATCTGGTCTTTCTTAATAGATCCTTACGAAAAACTGAGGCCTGAGGCTTGGAAGTCTGATTGTTAAACAAGCTCTGCAGGTGACTGAGATGGGAATCATTATTCTAGCACTCCTGCTTTAAATTCATGACCTACCTGCTGACAACTTCATCTCTCAATTTAAAGAAAATAAAATGAAAAGTTAAGTGGTGTTGAGGAACAAAAATAAATTGGTTGGCGAAATAAAGGTGTCAGAAACTCAAAGAATTGTAAGCTTTAGGTCTGTTTTTAAAAAAGAAACTAAAGAAAAAAAAAGACCAAATCTATTTGTTACTTAACTCATTTATTTATTAATTCACTCCATTTTTTCATTTACTCAAGGAATCTTTATTGTCTACCAAATGCTGGGCTCTGCACTACTTTCAGAGGAAACCATGATGAGCAAAAGCAGATAGATGAATTAAAACTCCTGCCCTCATGGAGTTTAAAGTCCAGTAAGAGAATAATCATAATCAATTGTATCATACAGATAAGCATAACATTACAACTGTGGTAAGTGGTCACAAAAAAAGAGTATATGGAAAGGGCTTAAATGACAGATTAGACAGAATACTGAAGGTCAGGGAAAGCTTCTCTGTGGAAGTGACTCTTAGACTGACATCTGAAGGATGACTGGGAGCTGATAAAACACAGAAGAGCTGGAGAACATTCTAGATAAAGGGAACGGCATTCATTCTTCCTGCAGCCTTTCAACAACTTCAGGCACTGTGCTGGTGCTGAGGATACAGCAGTGAACAAAACAAATTCCTTGCCCACAGAGAGCTTATGTTTTAGTTGAAGGAAAAACAGACTATAAACAGATGACCGAATAAACAGATGTCATAAACAGATGACATACACAGATGTCATCTGAATAAACAGATGACAGATAAACTATAAACAGATGACTAGAAACAGATGACGTAAACTACATCAGGTGGTGTTAAGTGCTGTGAAGAAATGGAAAGGATGAGCTAAACAGGAGTCCAGAGTGTGCAGGTGAGGTGGGTATTACAGGGATCAGCCTTTCAGCTGAGGCAGCAGATCATGCAACTGTGAGTGAGGGAGGCCTCTGGGTAGGGGGAGGAGTGAGGGCTGAGAGCTGCAGTAGAGCATCCTTGGGCATGTTCTGGGAACAGACAGCACTGTGTCTGAGTATGTGTTGTGATGGGAGAGGGAAAAGGAGCAGTGATAGGAAATGCAATCAGAGAGGTCATGGGGCCACATTGTCCAGTGCCTTGCATGTGAGCCAGGCAACCCTTGGAGAGTTTTAGCAAAGAAGTGGATCACCGGGTCTGACATATGAAAAATAGACTGTTAGTGCTGCAAAGGTGAGGGCAGCAAGAAACACTTAGAGGCATTTACAATAATGGTTTGGACCAGTTTGGTACAAGCAGAGATGGTGAGATGTGATCAGAGATGTGGTTGGATATACTTTGAAGGTAGAGCTGATGGGATTTGCCAAAGGAATGGAAATTGAGTGTGAGAAAAAGAGAGTCAAGGGTGGCCTCAACATCTTTGGATTAAAGAACTCATAGAATAGAGCCTTACTCACTGAGATAGGGAGAATGGTGAAGGGAAGAGACTGTGAGGGGTAGTTCAGGAGATTGTTTTGAGTCAAGTAAAGTCAGAGATGCCTTTTAGATATCCCAAGTACTGTGGTGGGTAGAGTTTGTCATATTTGATGAACTTATAGAAGTCAATATCTGACCAAAGCAAGCATAGGAGACCATGCTGTCCAATGTGCTGAAGAGACAGGCTTGGGCCAGACTACACTGGCCTTGGGGAGCACTTTGGAGATTTCAGCCCTCATCCTAAAAGCAACAGGAATCCATGAGTTTGGGGTATCAGATTAAGAGTTCCAAACTGGGACTGGCTGCAGTCTGGCAACGAGTTTGGAGTTGGGGATTGATAGGAGTAAGAGTGGATGCAGGAATATTTGTTAGGAAATACAACAGTCCAGACAAGACACTGTGGTGGCTTAGGTCATGTGGTGGTGGTAGACGTGACCAGGCAGAAGATTAGAAGCTATTCAGGAGGCAAATGCCAGGACTCCATAGTGGGTCAATATGGAGGTGAAAGAGAGGGAGGTGTCAAAGGTGACTCAGCTTTCTAGCTTGTACAACAAGATGGGCAGTGATTTCATTCATAGAGACAGGAAAAACTGGAATAGGACCAGGGGAAAGGTCATAAGATTAAGATGCCTATGTAAAATCCAAGTAGAAATGTCAATAAGCAATTGTGCACCCATCATGGTCTGAAATGCAGAGGTAAGGTCAAGGCAGGAGACATTAATTTGTGAGAGACATTCTGAAACTTAAAGAAAAAATAGTTTTTAGAAGGGAAGATTGATACATGCAAGAGGGAAAGGATAGTTAATCATGTAGCTCTCTGAGAAGACTGGAGAGAATGGAATTCAAATGTAAGTGGGGGCATAAGCCTTCTATACGAAGAGGAACAGCTTTTCCCTCTGTTGAAAATGATGCGTGCAGATACTAGTATATTTATTTGTATGCTTCATTCATTTGGCAAACATAATGTACACCTACCATGCACTATGGACATCCTGAAGTTCTGGGGATACAGAAACAAAAAAGAAACAATCCTCACCATCAAGAATCTCACTGTCATATAAGAGAGGTTGCAACAGGACAGTATTTGTGGGAACACTGGGCACAGTTAGATGCACATCCCGAAACTTTTGCAATGTAGATTTTCAAATGTTTGGAGAATAGATAAGCATGATATTATGGCCTATGAAATTGAAAAAGAACATATCTCAAAGGGGTTGGGAGTCTCTCAAGGACAGAATTTGGATTGTGTAATTGATCCCTAGGAGAGAACAAGTGCAGTTTCCAATATAAGATGAGGGTCCCAAGACTGAACTATTTGGTAGCAATCCCAGACTAACATTTCTTCAGAGACATTTTCTCACCAACTTTCCCCTTGAAAACTAGAGCAAAGGCCTCAGCCTGTGCATATCGTCAGCATCTAACACCTCCTGAGGTCTGCGTTGACCCTGAAACAGCTTTATCCTGGTTCTTTCCTGTCTCACATCCTTTGCACCCTTGGCCAATATCCAAATTACAAACTTCTTTAGTCATCTGTCCTTCCCCCACTCGCATCTTCATGTTCTTTTTTAATTTTCTTCCCTTCCTCATGTTATATTCACCCCATTGCTTCTCTTCCTGCTAATCTTTCCATCATGCTCTTGGAAGTCCCTTAGATCTTTTACCTCCTTACCTTAACTGAAAATTGACTATCCATTAGGACACGACTTCCCACTACAGCTATATCAAATAGAGGTTGTTCATTGTTTTTCATTGTCAAGAGGGTGTTCAGCATTTTCTTGCATCCTGAACATTATACCTCCAGCCATCTTTTTTGGTCAGGCCATCTGATTATTAGTCTACTTAGCATCACTGTCATCCATCAACATCATGGTTATTTCTCTGTATAGTCTTTCATAGTTTTGGCACCTGAGTCCCTATCTTCCTCTTCATTGCAAATCCTGCCACACTGATTCAGGTGACCCAACAAACACACACACACACACATACGCGCTCGCGCACACACACACACACACACACACACAGAGTGCCCTTCCCACTCTTCATGGGAAAATTATTCCCTTGGCCACACTATGGACCTTGTCACCCAGAGTTGCTTCAACTCTGGAATCTTGAATTTCAATATCTCATTCTCAAGCAATGATCTGCTTCTGAAAAGAGCTTTCTGTGTTGTGATCACCATACTTATTCTCTGACCTTATTCAGTGCTCCAGTCTCTTGCCCCTGTTCATTTTCTCTCAATCTATCAGTCCCCTCTTGGCTTCAATACCATTTCTAACTGGCCCAGGTGACATAATTTTTAATCATTCTCCTAAACCATTTTCTTAAACCATACACTCCATTTTCTTGCTACCGTCCCTATTTTACCTCCAGAATCCAAACTTTGGAAGGACTCCAATGTCCAGCTTCTCTGCACCTGATTATGCACACCAGGCACAGCTGTGGAAGATTACATGCTCATGCAGATTGATGCCAATAATGATCTCCAATTTTTGGATAGACTCTGAATCTTAATACTTCTGTCTGCCCTGGTCATCTTTTCACAGTCCTCACTCCTTCACTCTTCACTATCCTCCTCAAGCCCTCTAACCCACAATTTCCATACCATTTTCAGCACATGACATCCATTGCTACCTCAAAAGAAAATAGTAGCCTTAATACAAGAAATCTATCCAGAGCTCCCAGGGATAAATTGTACCATCTGTCAACTTCCTTGCCTGCATGCATTTATTTGTATTTACACCAAATTAGTAGATGTCTCTCCTCGTGTCATAGGTTAATGCTTGAACTTGGCTCTGGATTGCATTTGCATGTTTCTCTTCTTGCTAATCAATGCTTCTAAGTCTTTACTGTATCAAGAGCCTATTCTTCATTATTAATTTTGTTTTTAGATCAATGTAAAATACATTTAAGTCTTTCTCATATTTCAAAGCATAAAAATAAACAAACCTCCTCTGGCCATTCTAGCTCCTTCTTCCCTCCAGAGCTAGGCTTCTGGAACAAGTTATCCTGTTATAGAGCTTCCACAGCTTCACTTGCTTTTAATCTTACTGACTGCAGTCTAATTTCTGCCCTCCCCAGTTCAATGAAGCTCCTCCTTCAATGACTGCTAATTATGTCCCAGTTGTTGAAACTGATGGACATTGCCCTATTCTTATTTCACTTAGTTCTTCTGCCCCATTTGACACTGATGAGAAATCTCATTTGTCTTCAGTGTCCTTGCTTTCTCCTCTATGTTCAGTCTTTCTCACGCTCCTTGTAGGCTCTTCCTCTTCGATCTGTCCCTTAAATATTGGTATGACACCACTGGATGAACTCATCTAGTCCCATGGTTAGAGTTACCACTGATGTGCTGACCCTCCAAACTAGAATTTCCAACCCAAGCTTGTTGGAATATCTAGTTGCTTTATTAGATATGCAAAAGCAACAGAAATTTTGCATAAAGCTTCTCTCATAATCTTTTTCAGCAGACCCGATAGTTCTCTTTTTTCCCCTTTCCTAGTCAATATCATCAGCACCTGTGTACTTATCTTAAGCAGAAACCAGGAAGTCATCCCTCTTCAGCCTCACCTTCTACATCCAGTAGTCACAAAGTCCTGATGTTTTTGCCTTCTTCTTATTAAATTTCTGTCCCTTCTTTCACCCTTTTCACAGCTATATTTTGATTCAGGCTCTCTATATTTCTCTGTTAAATTACTACACATAGTCTGTTATCCAGTTCCCCTGCTTCGAGTTGCTATTTGTCTAATTCACTCTCCACACTGCAACTGGTCAACTTTCTAAATTGCAGATCTGTTCATGTCACTTCCCTCCTCAAAGTTCTTCAGTGGTACTCTTAACCTTCAGGATAAAACTTATCCCTTTATGGTATAGCTCATGATTACAGCTATTATCTCTGCCTAGAACACCTCCCTTCACTCTTCTTCTCCTGACTACAGTAATGCCTACTTATACTGTCAAATGCAGTTCAGATACTCTCTCCTCAGAAAACCATTTCATGATTCTGCCTTCAATATCTGTTAAATGCCCATCCAAGGTGTCCTCATAGCTTATGTATTTTATTTATTATTTATTTCAATTACTCACCTTAGCAATTGTAGTTATTCATCACGCATATATCACATTTTATTACAATATCTTGGAGAGTGTATGTTTCTCTCTTTGAATGTGAACTGAACAATAAAAACAACACTTATGTATGTTTACTATGTGCCAAGTTTGATCTAAGTGTTGTACTTGTATTGACTCATTTTGTCCTCATAGCAACCGTTATTTCCATTTTACAAAGCAGAGATCACATCCTTCTTATTCACTATCACCCCTTGCTGGCTACATAACAGGTACTTAATAAATGCTTGTTGAATGAAGGCCTGAATGAGTCATTCTATAGTGTTTAGCAGTGGGACAGATGTTCATAGAAAAACTGGGTATGATTAATGTACTAGAATGAAAATAAAGACCCTGTTTCTAGGCAGAATGACATTCCAAACAATAGCTGGGATTTAATAAGTGCCAATTAGAAAATCCCATCATATTTTCGCTGCAGTCCATGCTGGGGTTGCAATTTTAGCAGCTTTGTGTGTGGTGGAAAAATCCTCTTATGTATCTCTTGGTATTTCTCCACAATTTCATTCACTTGAAAATTGGCTATTAGTGAGCACTTCCTGTAATAAGTCCTGAAGTGAGTGGACAATAAAGAGGCACACTGAGAATTCCAAGCCATGGCAAGAAGATAAATCTATAGCAAATATAGATTTACCAATGGCTGAGCTTTTTTCTCCTGTGGTAAACCTATAAGCCATGCAAGAACTTTTCACTGCATGTTATCTTTTTTAGAGTGTGCCCTGGCCCATGTAGTCAGTTCCACCAGCATTACTGATCACCTACAGTGCACAGACATTGTGCTTTATTTGAGGCTGTGCCCAGCTCTGGGGAAAAAAAGGTAGTGAGTGATGGGAGCAAATGAGATAAGAGTTAGACTTTTGTCAGAAAATAAGGTGCTGCTGGTCACTACCATATTGCTTTTCCAATAATTTCAGTAAACTCTAGGTTGAATTAAAAAATACAAAACCTAGGGGAGGAGGGGGGAAGAAATAAGGAGAGACTGGTCAACAGGTACAAACAGGTACAAGGAATGAGTTCTGGTGTTCTATTGCACAGTAGGGTGAGTATGATTAACAATATTGTAAAGCATATTCCAAAATAGCTAGAAGAGAGTACTTTGAATGTTCTCACTGCAAAGAAATGATAAATGTAAGAGGTGATGGAAATGCTAAAAACACTGATTTGATCATTATACATTGTATACATATATAGAACTATCACACTGTACCCTATAAAAATGCACAATTATGTGTCAATAAAAACAAAACAAAATAATAGGAAATCTTCTTTTGTAGAATAAATCTGCCAATTAAGAGACATGGCTAGTAGAAACAGATGCGCTTTTGTTACTAAACTTTAATATTCGGCAAGAATTACCCTCAACCATTTGAAGCAGCAAATTACACCCTAAGCCAAAGAAGGGGAACCAGGATGTGGCTGAGAAAAGGAAGGATCCTGCTTCATTAGTCCATTTTCACACTGCTATAAAGAAATACCCAAGACTGGGTAATTTATAAAGGAAAGACGTTTGATTGACTCATGGTTCCGCATGGCTGGGGAGGCCTCAGGGCACTTACAATCATGGTGAAAGGGGAAGCAGGCACATCTTACCTGGCAGCAGGTGGGAGAGAAAGAGAGTGATAGTGCAGGAAAAACTACTATTTATAAAACCATCAGATCTCATGAGAATTCACTCACTATCACGAGAACAGCACGAGGGAAACTACTCCACAATCCAATCACTTCCCTGCCTTGGTGTGGGGATTATAGGTCCCTCCCTCGACACCTGGGGATTACAATTCCAGATGAGATTTGGGTGGGGACACAGAGCAAAATTATATCATTTCCTTTGGTAACTATGGGCCTTAGTATCTTGTTTGTGGGACAGGAAATTGAAAATGCCTAAAATTTTGAAATATAAGAAAACCAGAGCAACAGAGCATCAACCCCACTAAAGTGAAGCTGTGTTGTCATCGTTAACTAGCTAGTTAAAGCAAGGTGGCTTGGTCATTATAGAAGATATTTCTAATTCTTGATCATCACTAGCCCAACCTAAAATATAAAGAAACTTTTTCCTGCCTTATTTTGGCAAATTTGTGTAATCAGTTAAAGATAAAGACTTCCAAGCTTATAAACAGTATCAACTTGAAAATATTTTTTTCAGCTTGAAAATATCTAATGAGTTCTACACCCAAACTGAAACGCATTGTTAGATTCCCCTTGAGTTAAGTGCAAAGTGATTGGAATACTGCCCTCAAGTGATAGTTTAGATCAGCAGTTCTTGAAGTGTGGTCCGCGGACTTTTGGAGGTACCTAAGGCACTTTCCAGGGTCTACAGGATCAAAATCATTTTCATAAAAATACCAAGATGTTATTTGCCTTTTTTACTGTGTTGATATTTTCACTACTGGTGCAAAAGCAATGGTGGGTCAAAATACCATGAATTGGGACAGCGGTAATTGTATTCTTTATCAGGCACTCAGAGTTAAAAAAGCAAAATTGCTGGTTTTACTTAAGATGTCCTTGAAGGAGTATTTGAAAATAGTTAGATTTCAGCCCTTGTGCACATGTCTTTAATATTTTGTGTGATGAAATAGAAAGTATGTATTAAGAACTGCTGCTGCATTCCTAAGTAGGATGGTTGTCTCAAAGAAAACACTTGTGTGATTGAGCTGTCAGCTGAACTAGGTGAATCTTTTCATGGAATATCATTTTTTATCTGACAGAATGACTGGTAAACAAACTATTGTTCAGATCTGGGTATTTGGCAGACATTTTCTCAAAATAAAGTATGCGAACCTGTCACTTAGGAAAATAACAGACAGCATTTTTGCCAATGATAAACTTTGAATTTTCAAATGAAAATTAGAGTTTTGGAGGACTTCAGTCAGTCACTCTGAATCTGACATCTTTCCAACATTTAAAAGATGAGATTGGTGATGGTATTAAAAATATCATTTTTTATATTACATGATGAGATGTGTCAATATTCGGAAGAGCTGCATAACTCAGGGAACCATTATTTTCCAAGTGACCAATGCACGATGTTAAAACATTATGCATGGGTAAAATATTCATCTAATGAGCAAGATAGGCCACTGGATTTTAATGTAACAGAATATGAAAAGTTCACTGATATGGTTTTAGATTCTACATTGCACTGCAGTTTAAGAAACCATAATTTGCCAAGTTTTGGGTATATTATCAAAGGAGAATATCCACAATTATCTAAAAAAGGCTTTTTAAAATACTCCTCCCTTTTCCCACTACATATATGCGTAAGGCCAGATTTTTTTCCTGCATTCAACCCAAACAATATAGAGCAACACACTGATTACAGAAACAGATATGGAAATCTAATTGTTTCAATGAAGATGTTAAATTATTTTAACACTAAGATACCCAATTAAAGATATTTGCAAAAATATAAAACAGTGCCAATTTTCTCTCTCTCTGTATATATGTATTTTATCTTGGAAAATATGTTATTTATTTTAACATTCAATAAGTTTATCAATGTTTTAAATAATAAATAAATATTTTAAAAATATCTCTGTTTTATTTTCTAATATGCTAAATATTGGTGGCTGGAACTACATAAAAGCTCTTTGAGGGTACTTAATACATTTTAAGAGTATAGAGAAATCCTGAGACAAAATGTTTGGAAACAGCTAGTTTAGCTGATCATAGTGAGGGAAGGGCTATTTTACTTATGCTAAACTGTACATAAGTAAAAACCAACATTTGTGACATTTAATCCCGAGAAAAATGTAATTTATTTTGTTGTTTATTGATCAAAATATGCTTTATATATTTCAACCAAGGAACTTTTCCAGGGATCCCACATTTTATCAGAGTTCTTTGATTGAAAGCAAAATAAGCCAACTAAGGAAACTGTATTAGTTTTCTATTGTTTTATAACAAATGACCCAAACTTTAGTGGCTTAAAACAACATGTAATTATGATCTCACAGTTTCCATGCTTCCGTGAGTTGTAGAAGTCATGGAAGCTTGCTTCTTCAAAGCCAGTAAAATAATCTCTTTCTTCAGAAAGCCTGTCACTTATTTTGAAGGGGTCACCTGATTAGGTCAGGCCAGCCAAAGACAATCTCCCCTTTAAATTACTTAAAGGCAGTTAAGGAGCTTAATTGCATCTGTGAAATCTCTTCACTTTTGACATAATAAGTAACACTCATGGAAGTATGGTCCATCAGCTTTGCTGTATTGTTGTTAGAAGCAAGTTATAGGACCTGCCTGTTCACAAGGAGAGGGGATTACACACGGAGTGAGTCACTAGGGTTCATCTTAGAATTCTACCTTCCTTAGCAAACTAAACAAATAGGGAATTTACTGGAAGTAAAGGGGATAGCCACACAATCAATGGAATGGCTAGAGAACTGGCATGAGAAAGGGCAGGAAACCCTTTCCATTTCCTAAGAGCTATCAAAGTCCTGTTTTTTTGTATCTAGAAAAGTATTAATTGACTAGATTATCTGGCCAATGTGCCACAGCTAAATGAATCAACTGTGTGTGTGTGTGTGTGTGTGTGTGTGTGTATAAAACTTTGTGTCCTTTTACTCAAAGTTAAAAATTTTATCCCTTGGCTAAGAGGGCAGAGCATCTTGAGTAACAGCTCCCAAAAGACTACCCACGTGGGAAGAGATGATGTGAGGTGATGACCAGTAGAGGAAAATGCTGGAAAGCCACAAAACAAATGTCCCCCAAAGTCATCATAACCAAAGATTTTATATTTTTTCAAAGTGCAAAGGCAGAGAAATATTATCCTTCAACAATGTAATAATAATTTAAAATCTGGCAAATCCTTTATATATATGAACTCAGGTTTTGAAAATTCTTCTAAGTAGATGATTAATATATATCCTCTGGCTTTATTAATGACAGAAATCTTATTGTTGTATTTTATTTATTGTTGCTACACAAGAAGGACAGATAGCTTTCCATGTTTTAAAACAGAAAGATGATTTAGGTATTCTTTGCCCCTATATTAGTCCTTTTCAGAGAACCACTATCCAGTCATCTGGCTCTTACTTTCCACATTACTTTTATCCTATGTTTGAGATGGTATCTGCTGCCCCAATTTTCTAGCCTTCACATCTTCCATCGTTCCAAGAGCTTCCAAAATCTCTTTCTCTATCAAAAAGACAAATGTTTATATTCTCCTGACTCCAGCTGTCGACAGCGTGGCTCATAAGATTCACTTACCACTGTTTATACAAAATAGTATAATTTCAGATATTTTAATGACAGGTTGGAGTCAACCTTCCCTTTAGTAAGCAAAAACATAACTCATGCCAGATTCCAAGCATTCTGGAAGTCAGAGCTTACACCTGCATTTCCAGGGATTCCTGGCCAATTTGTAGTTTCACCATCAACTCCCACTCTGAAGTCCTGCTTCCGTGCAATTCTTCCTCTCCCTGCTAATTGGCTCACTACCTGTCAGGACTCCTCCTTCCATATGACTTCCAATGGCCGACGCTGCTCCACTTTCCAAAAGTACCACCAATATAACTGTGTAGCAAGCACTCCCAGAAGGGGTGAGGTGACACAGAGAAATCATGGCACAAAATGGGTTGTTTTTTTTTTAATTTGAAAATGTGAATTTACTGCCTTGTCTCATCATCCACAGCCCAGTTTGCTTCATGGGCATTCCCTCTCCCACCAGGCACTCAAGCTCTCTTACTCCTCTCTGGAATGTAGTCAGGCAGCGTTTAGTAACTATATCCAGAGATGAAGTCATTGAAAAAGGTAACTGAACTTTGTAATTAATCACAGGCACAAGGTATACATCTTAAAAATATATGTACGTTTCTCTAAAGCACTAGGAATGTCATTGTGTGTGTGTGTGTATGTATATTTTTTTTTATATATTTTTTTTGAGACTGAGTCTCATTCCATCACCCAGGCTAGAGTGCAGTGACACGATCTCAGCTCACTGCAGCCTCCGCTTCCTGGGTTCAAGTGATTCTCCTGCCTCAGCCTCCTGAGTAGCTGGAATTACAGACATGCACTACCACATCCAGCTAGTTTTTGTATTTTTAGTAGAGACGGGGTTTCACCATGTTGACCAGGCTGGTCTCGAACTTCTGACCTCAAGTGATCCACCCACCTCAGCCTCCCAAAGTGCTGGGATTACAGGCATAAGCCACGCACCCGGCCTCATTGTGTATTTAAAAGCTAGTATTGAAAGTGCCACTCTGAATGTGTACTAAAGAAAGATTAAGCTATGCACATGCTACACATATAATGTATGTGTGTGTACAAATATAATGTGTGGATGCTTTTGTATGTATGTACACATATGCCAAAATGTGTATGTATACATGTCTCCACTTCATCTTTTTTTTTCTTCTTCTAATATTGCTGTGGCTTTCTATTTTGTATCTGATGGAAATCTGGAAAGACTTTCTCAAGAAAGTGAAAGAGGAATTTCTGTAAATTTAGATTGATCTTCTTTATTTATTTAGATTGATCTAGTTATTCTGTACATCATGGTTTCTGTTTTAGTGTGTATATACTACTCAGTATTTTTCCCTTCTCTGCAGGAAAAAAAATGAGTTTGTTCTCCCTCTCCTTCCTCTTATCTCTCCAGCTAATTCTCTTATTTCTTTTTTTATTCTCTCACACTGAGGTGTTTTTTGCAGACTTTATCACAACCTGACAATGTTCTCAATGTTTCCTTTGATGCTGAGTTCTTTTTAAAAGACGTATGAAATGTAAAATCTCCCTTCCTTTCCCAGATCAATATTTGAAATAAAAAGCAGGGCAAACACCTTCAAAACGAAAAGTCTCCTGTTTCCTGTTGCCTATTCCAGCAGCAGGACTTGGGTTGCTTGCCGTTTTTCCTGCTTTTCATTTCCGAGGAGGCAGGAGCACCTCAGATGCTCCAGGGAATTGTTGATTCCAGAGAGAATTGCTGATGGGTGTAGCACCCCCTGGGTGCGTGCATCGAAGCTGTGAACAAATCCCCCCTTTCCTCACTAGAGTCTCTACAGAGAAATCACCTCAGCCCATGTATTCTGTGACAGCTGAGGATGGCAAATGTGGGAGCAATGTGGGCTTCTCCTGGTGCTAAGTCTGAACACAGAGCATAGGCCTTGCCTCAAATGTTTGCAAACATCCGTGTTAATGCTCAGCACGCCACTTTACACCGAAGGAGTCACACCAGTGTGACACACGACTTCAAGACTTCTGAGGAGCTAGAAAGGAAGTTTATGTATTTGAGGCCTTTCCCTTGGCTTCACTCCATTTAGAACTGGGTGACTCAAAATGACAAATAAGGTGTAGTAATGAAGACAAAAAGCTTCTTTAAAAAAATTATTGTTAATCCACTTCTCTTTTTGACCTCTGAACAGCATTATACTAGGGAGTTTACCCAGTCCTCTCAGTGAATAAGCTTGTGCTGAAATCCTGTGTTCTCAAGCTGGCATGTTATGTTGAAATGCTTTCAAGTTACATAAACGCCCACACTTACTAAGTGCAATTCCCTAATTGAGTCACTGGGAAGCAGCAGAAGTGAGCAGCACTGTGGTCCTGTGACACAGTGACAGTACAGAGAACTGTTTCCCCAGGAGCAACTCAAGTCTCACCACCTGCTGGGCTCCCAACTGTTCATATATTCAACCTATGGTAAAGAAATACAGAAGTAGGATTGCCATTATCATCCTCAGTATCGCCTTAAACTCTTACCAGTGTATCTGAATTGCATTTGTCTGCAAAACCAGCAGGCCTGCAGGCCGATATTAGAGTCACTTTCTTTCAAGGAAAGAGGAAAGTACTCAAAATGACAGAGTAGGTATGGCAGAGGACAGTAAAGGAAAAACCTCTCTTTTCTTTTCTACATTTGGATACTAGTTAATAGGATAACTTTGGAATGAGGGAGATCAGGTTCCAACTCTTGCTCTGCTTCTTGTGTGGCCCATTTAAAAGCTAATCTTTATAAATCCCCTTATCTGTAAAAATGGGTATAATAGTTATGTGGAACTAAATGAAAATCTACCAAATGAGAAAAAGAAAGGCTAGTTGTTCCAAGCTTGCTACAGCAAGGGAGTCAGCCACCATCACTTAACATTTTAGCAGAGACTCAAAGGCACGCAGGAGAGTGGGAAAGCATTATAGTGGAAAACGGGAAGGCTTCAGCTCTGCCCTGATTGGAGGCTGTTGCATGGGGAAGCTATAAGCAGGCCAGCTAGAGGTGGGGCACCCTGCGTGATTGGTTAGGGGATGTATTTTTGATTTTCTGTGGTTGGTGTTAACTTGGAAGTGGGGCCAAAATTAGGGAAGCTGTCAGTAATTAAGTCTTGTCAGTTTGGGGCCAGTTGTTACAGAAATGATCATTTATCTTCCTGGATTGTCACTGGAGATAGCAATCTGGTTTCCTGCAAGTCTGACTTATAGCAGGCTGGCTTCCTGGATTGTTTATTACAGATAAGGGGTTGGTTTCCTGGGCAAGTTGCTACCGGTTGTAGGTCAAAGTTCTATTTTATTATTTTCATTTTTATTTCTCATTTGTAAATTCAGTTTCAATGAAGCATTCATCAGAGAGCAGTCATGTAGCAGGTGCTCAGTAAATAATATAACTCATCAAGTGTTTGAAACCACTGCTATCTGGTATGTTTTTCTTGATCTCAGTGTTGGAGTCTTGGATTAGAAATGGGCAGATGTGGAGAAGCTCAGGTTATGTTGATATATCCTGGTCATTTTCTGTGGAATTATGCCAGCGTTGGAATGGTGTAGCAGTTATAGGCCTAATACCTCTGAATTCCTTAGGAAAGTCTGAAACTGCCATCCCATTCATTTCTCTTCTAGGAACTGTTAAAGTCCAAAAGAAACTCCAGGGCTCTAGTAAGTCTTTAACATCATGTTGAGTTCAGGATGTATTCTTCTTGGAATATCAATGAGTTTAAAGGCATCTGCAGTTGTTAAAAACTCAATAATAAGAACCTTTAAAAGATGAGAGACAAAGCACCTCATACTGAACAGGTGGTGTCTCGTTCATCATAGTATCCCCAGCATGTAGCACAATCCCTGGAACATAGTGTACATTTAATCAGCAGTTGAATGAATGAATGAATGAATGAATGAATTTCCCAACTTATATCAAATAGCTATTGTGGTGATAGTAGACATTACCTTTCCTATTATCTGCTATGTCATTTGGATATTCCTGTATGTTCTTTTTTCACCAGTGCTCCCAATATCTGATTGAGTTAAAAATAATCAAATGATTCATCATAGAACTTATACAAAATCAAAAATGACTATTTTGGTCACTTCATGCTCCAAAAATGCTGAATTCAGGAAAGAATGTGCCAATGAACACATTAAATACAATTTTAAAGCCTTGTTCAGTGAACAGGAAAGAAAGGTGACATGGTGACATAAAGTAGCTTCTTATTAGTGTCAGTGTGAAGTGGTGCCAACTTTGAACTCTAAATGCTAAATTTCTTCCAGTGATTTAACAGAAATATGTTCCAAGCCAGTTGGTTCACACAACCTCTTAGGAACTGTATATCTCAAAGTGACAGGCAGAGCTTCTTGCATTTTGTGTAGCAGAGACCCTGGAGACCAGGATTTCAGAGAAAAGAGACCCGGCCTAGCATTCAGCCATTACTAGTGTGCACTTCATCCTCCAAACATCCATTTATCCATCCATTTCCTCGTTTATTCATTCTCTTAAACAGCATTGATTGGACACTGAGAGCTTCCCAGGCACTAGAGATGCAAAGTGAATCTATTGTTCCCACCCTAAAGAACCCAAGCATATGATATGAAATCGATGATGAACACAAATGCAGCTAGAGACAAGATCTGACAGAACTTATTCATTCAATTACACTATCTAGGCTATACAACAATGACTAAAGTCTCTACCCTTAAAGAACTTGTACAGCAGAAAATCATGGACACAAATATACAAGATCAAATATGATAAGAGTTTAAGAGAAAAAGCACATTGTCCTTCCAGTGTTTCTACCACCCATCCCTTCCATTCCAGCCTCATTGACTCAACTGTAAAACACGCCAGTTTCTGTCCGCACTTTTTTTTTTTTTTGAGATGGAGTCTCACTCTACGGCCATGCTGGAGTGCAGTGGCATGATCTTGGCTCACTGCAACCTCCGTCTCCCGGGTTCAAGCGATTTTCCTGCCTCAGCCTCCCGAGTAGCTGGGACTACAGGCATGCGCCACCAGTCCCAGCTGATTTTTGTATTTTTAGTAAGAGACGGGGTTTCACCACGTTGGCCAGGATGGTCTCAATCTCTTGACCTCGTGATCCGCCCACCTCAGCCTCCAAAAGTGCTGGGATTACAGGCGTGAGCCACTGCGCCTGGCCCTGTCTGCCCTTTTAAAGTAAGTCTTCCCAATAATATTGTTCTTACTTTACAAATGAGGAAATAGCAACTGGTATGGCCTGTCATTTGCCTAAGATCATAGCTAGTAAGTGGTAGAGCTAAAATTCAAACCCACATCTGCTTTATTTATGTGTCAGTACTCATTAAATTAGTCATCCCCTGAATCAGAATGGGGTTGGGCTTGGGGGGTCTCCAAATCTGCAAGTTTAATAAGTAAACTTCCCAGATGGTTCTTTCTGATTTGCGTTAAAGTATGAGAACCACTACTCCTTGCCCCAGTTCAACTCCTCAATACCTCTGGCCTGGATCATTGAAATAGACTCCAGATGTGTTTCTTGTCTCATTCTCAGCCTCTTCTGGTCATTATAATTTTATTGCTCAGAAATATCCAGTCCCTATAAAAATCTACCTCTTTATGCTGGCATTGGATTTCCATCTTCTGTTGTCATCTATTCTTCTAGCCTGGGATTCTTTGCTTTCCTCCCAGGAACTAATTTCTACAGCCATACTTTGCACTTAGAATACACATCGGACTTTCTCATCTCCCCTTGCTTTCCCAACATCACTACCCCAAATACCTTCTTGCATTCCCACATCTCCAATAATACTTCTTATTCAAAACCAGCTTCACAATACACAAATGATTTACTATTCATCACTAAAAGGAGCTAAAATTCCTTCCTATAGTCACCTTACTATTTTAATATTATATGATATTGTTATACATAATATGCTATATATAATTATATAAGTATAGCTAGGTATATATAGTTATAGTTTTATATTTTTTTAATATATACATCAAATTTTCCTTTTTACTATCATGGTACATGGAAATTAGGATGCTTTGAGATCTAACCCTTTCATGCCAGGGTAATACAATAAGTTTATTAATCATTGGTATGCTATTCTATTATCTGTGCATGCATTTGCACTATATTTTTAAACATCATTTAAAAAGCCATTTGTTTCAACTTTTAACACTGGAAAGCAAGAACTCAGAGAAAAAAAAAGATCAAGTTTTAAAAACTTTCAGTTATTGATTTGAAAAGATATCTCAACATTTCACCTCTTCTAATTTCACCTCTTTCTGACTGGAGGCAGGCCCTCAGAAAATAGGCAGGAATTTAGACTTGGAATTCTTCTGTCTTTCCCTTAGCTCCACACCTTTACAATAGCTTAGAGTGAGATACACAGAAATCAAAAGGAAATCAAAATTCACTTTAGATCGATAAACAAAATAAACACAGATATTTGCCCTATATACAAAACAGGTCAATAATAAATTGCATCAGCATATAAATTCTAAAATAAAGGGTCAAATTAAGAACTATATCGCAGAGTGTAGACCATAAAACAGCAGACTTAATAATATGAAAAAATTAAATTCTTGTATTTTTAGTCTTATGTACTGTAGCTACTACTCACAGTTTAACACTATTAAGAAGTAATTTTTGCAGATCTGTGAGTACCTTCTCTTAAAGACAAATGCCTAAAACTTTTGCTGATTTTTAAATAGAATTGCATATTACCAGAGAAAAATAAGTATACTATTTGAAGTTTATTGTTCTTCTAACATGGAACAAGTTCCTATGGAGACAATTTTGGTAGGGAAATTATTAGCTTTAATTCATCATTTGTTCTTCATAAAGAACTAATAACTTTATTAGTTATTTCATAATTCATAATATTTCATAATATTTCATAATAACTAATAACTAACATACAGAACTAACTGCATATTTCCAAATCATGTATTTACATTTACTCACATATTTCCTAAGAGACTGCCAATTTATTGGCACAGGTTACGATCAGTAACTTCCATTAGGAAATAAGGATTTCCAGTTTACTATATTATATTGATTTGCACATAATTAACCTTCATATTAACTTTTTTAGGAAATGTAACTTTCCACATGGTTCAAGAAATAATTACTTGATATGTGGCAGTGACTAAGCTCCTGGAGTCTCACTGTATGAAGCAACTAATGCTGTGCCTTTTCTTCTGACAGATACAGTTAATAAATACTGTGTCTAATCATTGACATTAACAAATTCTCTTAATCCACATATCTGCAAAAGAACAATGTGTTTTTATATCTAGGCCACTATCATCTTTTGGTTGCAAACAGTAATTTGTGCAATGATGTTGTAGCAGTTTTTCAGTGTTATTCCATGAATCAATAGTCTTCTTGGTGGACTTAGTTTATGGTGCTGAATCAATCTCCTTTTAAGCAAGGCCTTGTTAAAGGTCTTCACACATTTAAACTATTTTGTTTCCACTTCATTTCCTTGGTTGAATAACACATTGAGATACGGTTGTAAGAACTAGGAAACAGAAATTACCAACTTTATTTCCTTGGTTGAATAACACATTGAGATACAGTTGTAAGAACTGGGAAATAGAAATTTCCAACTTTATTTCTAAACTCTGCATGGATAAACCTGTATAAGTCTCTTAACCCATAGGAGTGGCAGAAGAAATGACCGTATCTTGTGAGAAGAAATTAAGATATTTTTCATGCCATAGTAGTACAATAAGTTTATTAATCGTTGGTATGCTATTCTATTATCTGTGCATGCATTTACACTACATTTTTCAACATCATTAAGTAGCCATTTGTTTCAACTTTTAACATCAGGAAGTAAGAACCCAAAGGGAAAATACTTTTTAAAACTTTGAGTTATTCATTTGAAAGGATATCTCTACATTCCACCTCTTCTAATACATGTATTGTTATGTGTGACATCTGTGACCTTTGATGTTCATAGTAAATAGGTAGAAATTTCTTTGAATCACAATTACTTTAGTGCAACTAGAAACTTAGAATGTGGCCTGAACTGGAGTGAAGCTCTGCTGCTTCTGATATTATCCATTTGCTACTATCATTAGAAATGTAAATTATCAAGTAACCAGATTATTTTATTATTATTACTTTTAAGGGTATATCG
This sequence comes from Homo sapiens, assembly GCF_000001405.40. Lineage (NCBI taxonomy): Eukaryota > Metazoa > Chordata > Mammalia > Primates > Hominidae > Homo > Homo sapiens. The sequence continues at coordinate 29,248,254 of NC_000012.12, forward strand.
GGGAACCTGCCCCAATATTCACATAAGTTCTTTTCTATTTTCCTTAAGCATCGGCCAGCTTGAGAAATAAAGGGACAGAGTACAAAAGAGAGAAATTTTTAAGCTGGGCGTCCAGGGGAGACATCACATGTCGGTAGGTTCCGTGATGCCCCACAAGCCACAAAAACCAGCAAGTTTTTATTAGGGATTTTCAAAAGGGGAGGGAGTGTGCAAATAGATGTGGGTCACAGACATCAAGTACTTTACAAGGTAATAGAATACCACAAGGCAAGTGGAGGCAGGGCGAGATCACAGGACCACAGGACCACAAGACCAGGGCAAAATTAAAATTGCTAATGAAGTTTCGGGCACCATTGTCATTGATAACATCTTATCAGGAGACAGGGTTTTGACAGCAACTGGTCTGACCAAAATTATTAGGCGGGAATTTCCTCTTCCTAATAAGCCTGGGAGCACTATGGGAGACTGGGATCTATTTCACCCCTGCAGTCTCGACCATAAAAGATGGCCACGCCCAGCGGGGCCAGTTTAGAGACCCACCCCCAGGTGTGTATTCTCTTTCCCAGGGATGTTCCTTGCTGAGAAAAAGAATTCAGCAATATTTCTCCCATTTGCTTTTGAAAGAAGAGATATATGGCTCTGTTCCGCCCGGCTCACCGGCGGTCAGAGTTTAAGGGTATCTCTGCTATTCCCTGAACAATTTCTGTTATCCTGTTCTTTTTTCAAGGTGCCCAGATTTCATATTGCTCAAACACACATGCTGTACAATTTGTGCAGTTAGTGCAATTATTACAGGGTCCTGAGATGACATATATCCTCCTCAGCTGACAGGATTAAGAGATTAAAGTAAAGACAGGCATAGGAAATCACCAGGGTATTGATTGGGGAAGTGATAAGTGTCCATGAAATCTTTACAATTTATGTTTAGAGATTGCAGTAAAGACAGGCATAAGAAATTATAAAAGTATTAATTTGGGCAACTAATAAATGTCCATAAAATCTTCACAATCCACGTTCTTCTGCCATGGCTTCAGCCGGTCCCTCCGTTTGGGGTCCCTGACTTCCCGCAACAGTTTTTCATGCAATAGTAGTACAATAAGTTTATTAATCGTTGGTATGCTATTCTATTATCTGTGCATGCATTTACACTACATTTTTCAACATCATTAAATAGCCATTTGTTTCAACTTTTAACATCAGGAAGTAAGAACCCAAAGGGAAAATACTTTTTAAAACTTTGAGTTATTCATTTGAAAGGGTATCTCTACATTCCACCTCTTCTAATACATGTATTGTTATGTGTGACATCTGTGATCTTTGATGTTCATAGTAAATAGGTAGAAGTTTCTTTCCATCACAATTACTTTAGTGCAACTAGAAACTTAGACTTAGAATGTGGCCTGAACTGGAGTCATGCTCTGCTGCTTCTGATAGTATCCATTTGCTACTATCATTAGAAATGTAAATTATCAAGTAAGCAGATTATTTTATTATTATTAGTTTTAAGGGTAAAAAACTCCAAATCATAGGGGCAACACAGGCTTATATTAAGGATATATTCTAAGGTACAAGACATGATCTGGAATGAGAACAGACTCAGTCAAATTCCCTACACCAATTTCTCTTACCTCTTACTTCCGAATCAGTGGGAATGTTCATTAAAATGCATCTACCTGGGCCTTATCTCAGCCTTCCTTAATTAAAATCTCAGAAAATGAGATCTAGTAAAGAGTGATCTTTAGAAAGTTTTCCAAGTGACTCGAATGCTCACTAGCATTTGTGCACCACCTCCTTTCTGTACTTTCAGTCTTGATTCATTCATTCATTGATTCAACAATAGTTATTGAGCTACTTTGCATTGTTCTGTGCTGGTTAGTGTGTGACGGCTAATATGAAACAAAAATACAGTCTCTGTTTCAAGTGTTTAGTTGGTCAGGGTAACAAGATGTGTCTTCACTATGTATGTATTAATACATAACCACTAGGTAGTTAGATCCAGGAGCAAAATAGCTGGATCTGACCAGATTCTGTTCTGGTCAGACCAGTTGGATCCATTGGTCCAACCAATCTCTCCTGGTTATTACTTTATTTGATTATTAAGGCAGCTCTGTGGGATAGTTAGAATTTTATTTAATAGAAGAGAAAACTGAATCTCAGATCTTTAGAGATTCAAGATTCAGATTTACATGAAGAGTTAGTAATAGATCAGATTGAATGTCCAAGTTTTCTGGTTTCTAGCACAGTATTCTTATCATTACACCTATCTTATACCTCATATTATTTATTTTGTTAGTTACACTGAGACGGTCTAGAAATAGAATAATTTTTGAAAGATGGCATTATTTCAGTAATGAACAGTTTAGGTGAAAAATAGACAAAAGAAATAATTTCAAATCAAATCAATACAACTCCCTTTCCATCAATAAGTATTTTACATTTAGCTGCCAAGCCATCAAGCAAGAATTCTGTTCACTAAAAATGTGAGAGAAGTCCTACATATAGTGAATGTGTTAGGAGAAAATATAATGGATTAATTTTGTGTAAACTTGGCTGGGCCACAGAAATAAATTTGTGCGGGGAGCCCCAGCATCCTAGAGGAGCTCTGTGATCACCCTTCCTGAAAAACAGAATTTACAGTGGAAGCTCCTGTCACTGAATTGGAAAACCTAACTGCAATGGGAGTAATTGGATCCTAGGGTGGCAGGGGCCAAGTAGTGGCACTCAATTTTCAAAGAGGAGGTGGGCATGTTACTGTAATGAACAGCAGAGTCAAAACAGCAATCAGAAGAGTCTGACTTGAAGAGACCTGTGGCATTGGCTAGTTGATTAGGATGTTCCTAGAAGTGAAGTGGATAGAGAAGTCTATTAATCTTACTTGATCTGTATAAACAGAAAAGTTCAAGGTCAACTGAACAAAAAGTGTAGCTTGACTCATCAAAACAGATAATCATGGCGCCACTGATCAATTCCCAGACTTGAGCCAGTTTACAGACCTAGAACCTTTTGAATGAAGTTGGGGCCAGGTCCCTTGAGGAAGGACCCTGATACACTGCCAAAAAATTTAAACTTAATCTTTCTCCCAGACTTCCCCAAAGGCACCCTTGGCCCTTTACTAGGGAGACTGTGAGTTGGGAAAAAAGGAAATAACCAGACTTTTGAGGGATAACTGGAGACTGGTCTGAACTGACACTAATTCTAGGAAACCCTAAACATCATTGTGGCCCTCCACTCAGAATAGGAGGTCAGGTGATCAATGCAGTTTTAGTTTAGATCTGTCTCACAGTAGACCCAGTGAGACCCCTAACCTGTACTGTGGTCTTTTCTCTAGTTCCAGAATGCATAACTGGAAAAGATATCCTGAGCAACTGGCAGAATCCATACATTAGTTCCCTGACTTGTGGAGTGAGGGCATTATGGTGGGAAAGGCTAAGAAGAAACAACTAGAACTGCCTCTATCTAGAAAAATAGTAAACCAAAAGCAATACCACATTCTTGGAAAGATTAGAGACCAATACCACCATCACGGATTGTGCAAGGCTCTCCAGAAAGCTGCACATGCTCTGAATCAGTGTCTAATATATGGTGCTGTTTCTCCCAGAGCCAGGATTCATGGGTCCAAGATCAAGGGGTGAATGTCAGAGTGGCATCACTCACTATTTATTACCCCTAGTGACCCACTAGAAAATTTTTTCCTGTCCCTATGACATTATGCTCTGCTAGCTTGAAGGTCTTAGTTCGAGAGGGAGAAATGCTGCCACAAAGAGACCTAACAATAATTCCACTGAACTGGAAGTTAGCACTGCCACTGGAAACTTTGAGATCCTCATGACTCTGGATGAACAAGCAAAGAAGGGAGTTACTATTACTGGGTTGGGGTGGTCAACCATGACTACTAGGGGAAAATGGAACTGCTACTCCACAGTGGAGGTAAGGAAGAGTCTGTCTGAAATACAGGAGATCCTTTAGGGTGTTTCTTGGTATTATCATGCCCTGTAATTAAGGTCAATGGAAAATTGCAATGACCCAACCCAGGCAGGACTATTATGGGCCAGACCTTTCAGGAATGAAGGTTTGGGTCATCCCACGAGGTAAAGAATTATGACTACCTGGAGTGCTTACTGAAGGAAAAGGGAACATGGAATGAATAGTGGAAGAAGGTAGCTATAAATACCAGCTATGACCATGAGACCAGTTACAGAAATGAGGACTGTCATAATCATGAATATTTCTTCCTTACTTTGTTATGAATATGTGTGTATATAGCAAATATTTCTTTCTTTCCTCTTTTGTCCGCTTATCATGCAACATGTGTCGACTTTTTATTGTAGTATTTGAGGATTATTAACTTTCCATCATAGGATTTAAGTTACAGATATCACGAAAAAAAGTAAACATCAACCAAGAGCTTTGCATCCTCTTCTGGGGAAAGGGTTAGTGCGTTTTTGGTTGTATGCAGGATAGTTGTATTTATGTTAGATGGAATTATAACCTTGTTATTGACATTAAGTATGGTTTAAAGAGAGGCAAATGGTTGCCAAGTTGACACGGGGTGGACTTGTGATGGTTAATTTTATGTGTCAACTTGGCTGGGCAGTAGTGCCCAGGTATTTGGTCAAAGTTATTCTGGATATTTCTGTGAAGGTGCTTCTGGATGAGACTAACATTTAAATTGGTGAACTTTGAGTGAAGCAGGTTACCCTTCATTATGTGGGTGGGCCTCATCCAATCTGTTGAAAGCCGTATGGAACAAAGACTCATCTTCCCAGAGCCAAAAGAAATTATACCAACAGATGTCCTTTGGATTCAAACTGCAACTCTTCCCTGGGTCTCCACCCTGCTAGCCTAACCTGCAGATTTTAAACTTGCCAAGCCTCCACAACTGTGTGAGACGACTTCTTAAAGTAAATGATTCTTTCTCTCCCTATCTCTCTCTCTATCTATCTATCTAGATAGGTATCTATATATCGATATCTATCTAGATAGATATCTATATATCGATATCTATCTAGATAGATATCTATATATCGATATCTATATCTATCTAGATAGATATCTATATATCTATATCTATCTAGATAGATATCTATATATCTATATCTATCTATACAGATATCTATCTATCTAGATAGATAGATAGATATCTAGATAGATGGACAGATAGATAGATAGATAGATATGTATGTATATACACATACACCTATATATATAGATACATATATCTATGTATATGTATTGGTCATTTCTCTGGAGAACTCTAAACTAATACAATGATAATCTATTTGAAAAAGCCTTTAATTCTAAGCAAAGCATAAAAAAATGTGTTGGCTTACTATCCATTCAGTTGAACTCCTGTTCTCATTGGGTTTTAATAGATCAACCAATCTTTTATTTGTAAGCTGATCCAATTTATAAATCACCCAGAGCAAATAAAAAGCATCAAAATTTACATTTAACTGTGGTTCTCAATATCATTTTATCATCTTCATAGGCTAATGCTGTTTGACTTACCTTTTACAAACAATATTAACAACAGCTTGCATTTTTATAATGCTTTACATTTAGCAAGGATGTTTAGACATTCATTGGCTACGCTTAACATAGTGTGTAGCACATAGTAGACATTCAATACATGTGTTTAATCTATTATATTGAAATGGTGGATTTAGGTTATATTCTTTTCTTCTTCATTTCTCTTAAACTTGATTTTTTTAAAAAAGACTTATTAATGTGCTAAGCAGAAGCAATCTAAGAAGAATGTATTGAGGTGATTGCTAAATTTGGTGTTCTTAAGACCAGCTTTGACTATCTCTCCCCAGCTGGGACCATTTCCAAATTGGTTTTTCTTGACTATGGAGTATTGCTAATCCAATTAGTGAGGGCTGTTCCCAACAGCTGTCCACAATTCCCCTGGGAGTTAATATTCCTTTACCAGGAACTTAAAAATTCTCCTGGAAAAACTATATATAACAAGCCCACAGTGAAAAGTACCTAAGTTAATTGCTGAATTGAATAATTTGGGGTATACTCAGGAAATTAAAGCAAAAAAAGAAAGAAATCTAGATTAAAACATTTTTTCATTAAGTGTTTGACAAACAGATATGTGACTGATATACAATTGTTTTTGTTTGCTTTAAGCAAGGGGATCTTGCTATTTTAGGGCGGTCCCAAACTCCTGAGCTCAAGCAATCCTCATGCTTCAGTCTCTTGAGTAGCTGGGATTACAGGAGTGTGCCATTGTGCCCAGCCTGATATATACATTTTCAAGGCTTGGATCAATTAGGTCTTTGTATTTCATCATAAAATACCTGGCCGTATTGTCACAAGTGTGTGAAAACCAAGAACTAAGATCACACTATTATGCTACAAAATGGGAACATGAAACAGCTACATTTGCTTCATTATAAAAGTTTACTCCAGGCTGGCCATGGTAGCTCATGCCTGTAATCCCAGCACTTTGGGAGGCCGAGGCAGGCAGATCACTTGAGGTCAGGAGTTCGAGACTAGCGTGGCCAACATGGTGAAACCCCATCTCTACTAAAAATACAAAATATTAGCCTGGCATGGTGGTGGGCACCTCTAATCCCAGCTACTTGGGAGGCTGAGGCATGAGAATCACTTGAACCCAGGAGGCGGAGGTTGCAGTGAGTAGAGATTGCACCACTGCACTCCAGCCTGGGTGAAAGAGCAAGACTGTCTCAAAAAAAAAAAAAAAAGTTTACTCCAGAAATTAAATAGTTGATATCAATGATTGTGATGCATTATTTGACTCACTAGTCAAAAAAATTTACATCTCTATTCAGATGCATTTGTGTGTGTATTACTTTGCTTGGACTTCCATAACAGAATACCAGACTATACCAGAATGGGTTGCTTAATCAACAGACCCTTATATTCTCACAGTTCTGGAGGCTAGAATTCAAGATCAAGGTGGTGATAAAATTAGTTTCTGGTAAGGCCTTTCTTCCTGGCTTGCAGACTATTGCCTATTATTCTCCCTGTGTCCTCACATAGCCTTTCTCTGTGTCTGCCTAGAGAGCTCTCTGGTGTCCCTCCCTCTGCTTATGAGGACATCAGTCCTATGAGATTAGGGACCCACCCTGGTGACCTCATTTAACCTTAATAACCTTCTAAAGTTCCTTTTTCCAAATACTATCACACTGTAGGCTAGGGCTTCAACACATGAATTTTAGGGAGACACAGTTAAGCCCATGACAATGTTTAGTAATGTCAGTTGGGCCACACTTTTAAAAATAACTTAAATATATCTTAAACTAAGGAAGCATGTTTTGCAAATTTTTTTATACTCCTAGTGCCCACAGCAAAAGTAGAGACTATAAAATACTGGCTATCACTACTTTCTTTTTTCTTTTTTTTTCTTTTTCTTTTTTGAGATGGAGTTTCGTTCTTGTTGCCCAGGCTGGTGTGCAATAGCACAATCTCAGCTCACTGCAACTTCTGCCTCCCAGGTACATGCGATTCTCCTGTCTCAGCCTCCCAAGTAGCTCGGATTACAGGCATGCACCACCATGTCTGGCTAATTTTACTACTTTCTAAGAAATTCTTTTTAAAGTAAGTATTATTAAATTGCCTTTTCAGTTTATCTTATTATTTTTATTTTATTTATTTCTTTTTTTGAGATGGAGTCTCACTGTGTCACCCAGGCTTGAGTGCGGTGGCACAGTCTCAGCTCACTTCAACCTCTGACTCCTGGGTTCAAGCAATTCTACCCACTCAGCCTCCTGAGTTGCTGGGATTACAGGTGCCCACCACCATGCCTGGCTAATTTTTTGTATTTTTTAGTAGAGACAGGGTTTCATCATGTTAGCCAGGCTAGTCATAAACTCCTGACCTCAGGTGATCCACCCACCTCGGCCTCCCAGAGTGCTAGGATTACAAGCGTGAGCCACTGCACCCGGCCTTATTATATCTAAAATTATTATTGTTTTTTTTAAAACATGGGGTCCTGCTTTGTCACCCAGGCTAGAGGGCAGTGGCGCCATCATAGCTCACTGCAGCCTTGAACTCCTGGGCCCAAGGAATCCTCCCGGCTCAGCCTTCCTAGTAGCTGAGATTACAGGCATGTGCTACCATGCCCTACTAAGCTTTTCATTTTTAGTAGAGACGGGGTCTCACTATAATGCCTAGTCTGGTCTCAAACTCCTGGCATCAAGCGATCCTTGTGCCTCAGCCTCCCAAAGTGCTAGGATTTAGAGGTGACAGCCTGCTGGCAGTCCTCACAGCCCTCGCTCACTCTCAGCACTTCCTCTGCCTGGGCTCCCACTTTGGCGGCACTTGAGGAGCCCTTCAGCCCACCGCTGCACTGTGGGAGCCCCTTTCTGGGCTGGCCAAGGCCAGAGCCCACTCCCTCACCTTGCAGGGAGGTGTGGAGGGAGAGGCGCGGGCGGGAACAGAGGCTGTGCGTGGCACTTGCGGGCCAGCTGGAGTTCCGGGTGGGCGTGGGCTTGGCGGGCCCTGCACTCGGAGCACTCGGCCGGCCCTGCCAGCCCCGGCAATGAAGGGCTTAGCACCCAGGCCAGCTGCCGAGGAGGGTGTACTGGGTCCCCCAGCAGTGCCAGCCCAACGGCGCTGCACTGGATTTCTCACCGGGCCTTAGCTGCCTTCCTGTGGGACAGGGCTCGGGACCTGCAGCCTGCCATGCCTAAGCCTCCCACCTCCTCCGTGGTCTCCTGTGGGGCCCCAGCCTCCTCGACGAGCGCCACCCCCTGCTCCAGGGCACCCAGTCCCATCGACCACCCAAGGACTGAGGAGTGCGGGTGCACGGCGCGGGACTGGCAGGTAGCTCCATCTGTAGACCGAGTGCGGGATCCACTGGGTGAAGCCAGCTGGGCTCCTGAGTCTGGTGGGGACGTGGAGAACCTTTGTGTCTAGCTCAGGGATTGTAAATACACCAATAGGCACTCTGTATCTAGCTCAAGGTTTGTAAACACACCAATCAGCACCCTGTGTCTAGCTCAGGGTTTGTGAATGCACCAATTGACACACTGTATCTAGCTACTCTGGTGGGGCCTTGGAGAACCTTTGTGTGGACACTCTGTATCTAGCTAATCTGGTGGGGACGTGGAGAACCTTTGTGTCTAGCTCAGGGATTGTAAATGCACCAATCAGCGCCCTGTCAAAACAGACCACTGGGCTCCACCAATCAGCAGGATGTGGGTGGGGCCAGATAAGAGAATAAAAGCAGGCTGCCCAAGCCAGCAGTGGCAACCCGCTGGGGTCCTCTTCCACGCTGTGGAAGCTTTGTTCTTTCGCTCTTTGCAATAAATCTTGCTACTGCTCACTCTTTGGGTCCACACTGCCTTTATGAGCTGTAACACTCACTGCGAAGGTCTGCAGCTTCACTCCTGAAGCCAGCGAGACCACGAGCCCACCGGGAGGAATGAACAACTCCAGACGCGCCGCCTTAAGAGCTGTAACACTCACCTCGAAGGTCTGCAGCTTCACTCCTGAGCCAGCGAGACCACGAACCCACCAGAAGGAAGAAACTCCGAACACATCTGAACATCAGAAGGAACAAACTCCGGACACGCCACCTTTAAGAACTGTAACACTCACCACGAGGGTCCGGGGCTTCATTCTTGAAGTCAGTGAGACCAAGAACCCACCAATTCCGGCCACAGGATTACAGACGTGAGACATCACACCCTACCTAAATTGCCTTTTGAAAATCATGAAAACATAGTAGAGACAGGAAGCAAAGCTCTATAGCCTTAATCCTACCACAGTGTTATACAACTACTCTCATTTATTTCACTCCTCTCCAATCTTTTCCACCGATAAAAATCACAGGGGCTGGGCACAGTGGCTCACGCATGTAATTCCAGCACTTTGGGAGGCTGAGGCGGGTGGATCACCTGAGGTCAGGAATTCGAGACTAGCCTGACCAACAAGGTTAAACCTTGTCTTTACTTAAAAAAAAAAAAAAATGCAAAAATTAGCCAGGCGTAGTGGCAGGTGCCTGTAGTCCCAGCTACTCGGGAGGCTGAGACAGGAGAATTGCTTGAACCCTGGAGGCAGAGATTGCAGTGAGCCGAGATCGCACCACTGCACTCCAGTCTGGGTGACAGAGCGAGACTCCATCTCAAAAAACGAAACAAAAAAATCGCAGGGATATGTAATAGACATTACATAAATATATGTATAAATTTTTTTCATTGACATTATTTTGAATATTATTTTGTAAATGCTTCTCCTAACATAATTATTGAAAGAATTTCAATGTTTAATTTTGATGAACAGAACAACTTCCATTTACTGATTTTCACAAAATAGCAATGACTTTGTTTGATATAATCAACTCATATTATCATGCCTATTGCCAGCCAAAACTCCATTTTTCTGTATGAGATGTCTCTCAACACACAGTATTTTCTTTGAGCCTTAAAAAAGCCAACAGAATTATCTGAAAATGAAATTGACTTGATTATGTATAGAGTCATCCATATACAGCAACTAATGCTAAATGGCTTTTTTCTCAGCTGACCCTATGCTGGCTCAATCGTCATTCTTTTTTGAATTTGTCCATAATAGATTTGGTTGAATGAAATTGAGAAGCTTAAGTTTTGTGAGAGCTGGGATTATGGATGCATTTATAGCACAGACACTGAAAAAAACTTGGTGAAAATGAAAAGTGGGAAGTTTCTCTCTTGAAAAATCTTCCTTCATCTCCACTTTGAATATTATCAAGATTTTCCATACGTGTAATTTGCTTGGGTCTATGTAATTAGTTATGAATGATTTATCATAAAGTAGAGATTGGTAGGAGGTCATGTTTGTACTTAGCTTCATAGGCAGAAATTTAAGTCTTGAATTTGGACTTGTTAAAGAATGTGCTGGTATGAAATGAAAATTAAAGAAGGTTCTAGAAAAATGGTTCATTGACAGAAGGAATTTTTCCCACTGGATCACCTTTAGCAAAGCCTGGAGAAATTTTTGGTCATCACGCCTGGCAGATAGGGTCAGGTGGGTGTAGTAATTTTTCGCATCTAATGAAGGAAGGCCGGGGATGCTGCTAAGCATCCTACGTTGCACTGGACAACCTTCACAACAGAGAATGATCTGGCCCAAAATGTCAATAGTGCCAAGATAAAAAATCCTTGGTCAAGAGTAACATTCCTGAGAGGAAAATCATCTTGTTTCTTTTCAAAAATGTTTCTCTCCAGTGGACTACGAAGACATTTGGATAAATTTGTCTTTCTTATGCGTTTGAATCTTAATTTTTTTATTTTCCATAAGAACCACCTAAAGAATAAAGTTCCCATATGCTGAAACCTGCAACAAATGTATAACCTAACACACCTATAATGATTTAATATTTTAACATTTGTTCTCTAGGAATTAGAACAGGCTCATTTTATCACCAAAAGGAGACAAAACTCTCTCTATTCATAACCATGGAAAATTGGTGATCTTTACACCAGAAGAGAAATGAAAAATCTAACCTGCATAAAGCCTGTTCATTGCTAACCCCCATGCCTAGACAGTGCCTGACACATGTAAGCATTCAGTAAAAATACGCAGACTCACTCTCTTTTTTCTTTTTTTCATTCAGCCATCCGATACCATACATTATATAGGATGCTTGGGTGTGTTAGTATTCTGGAGATTGTCAAAGTGACTTAGACTTCTCACAAACCATATCATGAGCATGAGGGGTAGGAAATTATCCTCTGCTCTCTGCATTAGTAGTCTGAGAAAATATGAAAGGAGGCCATGACCCAGTGAGCTGTTGTAAAGTAGAAGGGGGACCTTCTAGAGTTGCATATGTGCTATTATTGACTGTAAAACTATTTTAGTTTAAAAAATAATTAATGTAATTATTTTATTGAGTTATATTATGAGTTAACAATTCCTAGACTTAACAAAGTTGTAACATATGAAATTGGATTTCAGGGAGCCAAATTTTTGCCATTGAAAGTAATGGCAAACACTGCAATTATTTTTGTGCCAACTTGATATATAGGCTTTTCTGCAACGAGGAATCAAGCCATATCTTGAATGTGGAGGCAAGAGGTAGAAGAAACATCTCTGATGCAGCTTTGTCCTGAGGGGAGGAATTCCTTTTGACATTTTTCAGAATGACTTAAATTGATTAAAATCATGGACACAACTCCTCTGCCACCTCCTCATGACAATTGGGTAATGAGGGCCAGAAGATACTGGCTTATGTTTTGTTTTCCTGTCAAAGCACTCAGTGTACTCTGCCACAGGATTTATTGTGTTTGGGAAATATTTGGACTCTGGGCCTTAGGTGAGATTCAGAGCTGTGCTGGCTTCAGGTGTGACCCAGTGCATTTCTGGCTGTGACAGCTGTGGGGACAGACTCCTTCTGCTTGAGGACAGGGGAGTGAAGAGTAGGAAGGACTTTGTCTTGTGGCTTCAGTGCCAGCTCAGCCAATGTAGAAAAGAGCATCAAGTTAAATTCTTAAGGTTCCTGTCTCCAGGCCCTGGCTCCAGGAAGGCATCTGTGGACCTACCTGGGTCCAGGAAAAGCTCACCACCCTGAAGGGAGACAGGCTCAGTTTGTTTGGGGCAAAGTAAGGGAAGAAAACAAGAGTCTCTGCCTGGTAATCCAGGGAATTCTCTTGGATCTTACCCAAGGCCCCCAAGGCCACCAAGGCAGTACCTTCATGACTGTGCAACAGCCACAGTGTTGCTGGGTTTGGGGTACTCCCTAATGCAGTAAGGCTGCAGTGACAAAAGACATAGATCACAACACCTAGGTCCCTCTGAATACTTGGAAAGCCTTCCCAAGAAGGATTGATGCAAATGTGCCCAAACTGCAACTATTACAATAAATACCTGATGCTTAAACATCCAGATACCAAAGAACATCCACAAGCATCAAGACCACCCAGGAAAACATAACCTCACTAAACGAACTAAATAAGGCACCAGTGACCAATCCAAGGTAACACAGAGAAGGAATTTAGAATACTATCAGATACATTTAACAAAGAGATCGAAATAATTAAAGAATCAAGCAGAAATTCTGGAGCTGAAAAATGTAGTTGACATACTGAAGAATGCATCAGAGTCTCTTAACATGAGAGTTGATCCAGCAGAAGAAAGAACTAGAGAGCTTGAAGACAGTTTATTTGGAAATACACAGAGAAGACAAAAGATAAAAGAAGAAAAAAAGAATGAAGCATGCCTACAAGATCTCAAAAGAGCAAATGTAAGAGTCATTGGCCTTAAAGAGGAGGTAGAGAGAGATCAGGTAGAAAGTTTACTCAAAGGGATAATAACAGAGAAATTCCCAAACCTAAAGAAAGATACCAATATCCAAGTATAAGGAGGTTATAGAACACCAAGTAGCTTTAGCCCAAAGAAGATTATCTCAAGACATATAATAATCAAACTCCCAAAGGTCAAAGATAAAGGATCCTAAAAGCAGCAAGAGAAAAGAAACAAACAACATACAATGGAGTTCCAATACATCTGGTAGCAGGCTTTTCAGTGAAAACCTTACAGGCCAGGAAAGAGTGGCATGACATATTTCAAGTGCTGAAGAAAAAAATCTTTTACCCTAGAATAGAATATCTGGCAAAAATATTCTTCAAGCACAAAGGAGAAATAAAGACCTTCCCAGACAAACAAAAGCTGAGGGATTTCATCAACACCAGACCTGTCCTATAAAAATGCTAAAGGCAGTTCTTCAATCTGAGAGAAAAGGATGTTAATGAGCAAGAAGAAATCATCTGAAGGTACTGAAAGCTCACTGGTAATAAGTACACAAACACAGAATATTACAACACTGTAATTGTAGTGTGTAAACTACACTTAAGTAGAAAGACTAAATGATGAACCAATCACAAATAATAACTCCAACAATTTTTCAAGACATAGCCAATACAATAATACATAAAAAGAAAAAGTTAAAAAGTGGCAAGATGAAGTTAAAGTGTAGAGTTTTTATTAGTTTTCTTTTTGTGTGTTTTTTTTTGTTTATGCAATCAGTGTTAAGTTGTCATGGGTTTAAAATAATGGGTTATAAGATAGCATTTGCAAGCCTCACATTAACTGCAAATTGAAAAACATACAATGGATACCTTAAAAATAAAAAGCAAGAAATTAAGGCTTGGCGTGGTGGCTCATGCCTGTAATCCCAGCACTTTGAGAGACCCAGGCAGGCAGATCACCTGAGATCAGGAGTTCGAGACCAGCCTGACCAACATAGATAAACCCCGTTTCTACTAAAAATACAAAATTAGTCAGGCATGGTGGCGCACGCCTGTAATCCCAGCTACTCAGGAGGCTGAGACAAGAGAATCACTTGAACCCGGGAAGCAGAGGTTGTGGTGAGCCAAGATTGTGCCACTGCACACCAGCCTGGGCAACAAGAGCAAAATTCCATCTTCAAAAAATAAGTAAGTAAATAAATAAATAAATAAAGCAAGAAATTAAATCATACAACCAGAGAAAACCACCTTCACTAAAAGGAAGACAGGAAGGAAGGAAGGAAGAGAAGACCACAAAACAACCAGAAACTAAATAACAAAATGGCAGAGGGAAGTCATTACTTATCAATAATAACATTGAATGTAAATGGACTATGCTCTCTAATCAAAAGTTATAGAGTGACTGAATGGGTGAAAAAACAAGACCTCATGATCTGTTGCCTACAATAAACACACTTCACCTATAAAGATACACATAAACTGAAAATAAAGGGATGGAAAAAGATATTTCATGCTAATGGAAACCAAAAAATAACACTTATAGCTATATTTATACCAGACAAAATAGATTTCAAGACAAAAACTATGAGAAGAGACAAAGAATGTCATTATATAATGATAAAGATGTTGAACCAGCAATAGGATATAATAATTGTAAATATATATGCACCCAACACTGGAGCCCCCCAGATATATAAAGCAAATATTATTAGAGCTAAAGAGAAATATAGCCCTCAATACAATAATAGCAGAGGCTTCAACACCCCACCTTCAGCATTGGACAGACCTCTCAGACAGAAACTCAATAAAGAAACATTGAACTTAATCTGCACTGTAGATCAAATAGTCCTAATAGATATTTACAGAACACTTCATCCAACAGCTACAGAATACACATTCTTCTCCTCAGAACATGGATCATTCTCAAGGATAGACCATATATTAGGTCACAAAACAGGTCTTAAAACATTTTAAAAAATGGAAATAATATCAAGCATCTTCTCTGGCCACAATGGAGTAAAAGTAGAAGTCAACAACAAGACCAATTTTGGAAACTATACAAACACATAGAAATTAAACAATATGCTCCTGAATGACCAGTGGGTCAATGAAGAAATTGAAAATTTACATGAAACAAATGAAAATGGAAACACAGCATACCGAAACCTATGGGATACAGTGAAAGCTGGACTGAGAGAAATTTATTCTTGGTAGGTTGTACATTCCTAAACATGTACAACGTACTAAGAATAAATTTCTCTCAGTCCAGCTGAGAGAACTGGTTCAATCCAGTAGATTGAGCCATGAACAAATTCAAAACCTGCATAGACCAATAACAAGTAATGAGGCCAAAGCCACATTAAAAACTCTCCCAGCAAAGAAAAGCTCATTATTTGATGGCTTCACTGCTGAATTTTACCAGACATCTAAAGAAGAACAAATACTAATCCTACTCAAAGTATTCCAAAAAATAGAGGAGGAAGGAATACTTCCAAACTCATTTTATAATACCAGTATTACCCTGATACCAAAACCAGATAAAGACACATCAAAGGAATAAAAGGAAAGTAGGAAAACTATATGCCAATATCCCTGATGAACACTGAGGCAAAAATCCCCAACAAAATACTAGCAAACTGAAATCAAGAACACATTAAAAAGATCATTCACCATGATCACATGGAATTTATCCAAGGGAGGCAAGGATGGCTCAACATGTGCAAATCAGTCAATATGATACATCATACCAACAGAATGAAGGACAAAAACCATATGATCATTTCAGTTAATGCTGAAAAAAGCATTTGATAAAATTCAACATCCCTTTGTGATAAAAACACTCAAAAAACTGGGTATAGAAGGAACATACCTCAACACAATAAAGGCTGTATATGAGACCCACAGCTAGTATCATACTGAATGGGGAAAAACGAAAAGCCTTTCCTCTAAGATCTGGAACACAACAAGGATGACCACTGTCACCAATGTTATTCAACATAGTACTGAAAGTCCTAACTAGAGTAATCAGACAAGAGAAATAGGCCAGGTGCATTGGCTCTTGCCTGTAATCCTAGCACTTTGGGAGGTCAAGGTGGGAGCATTGCTTGACCTCAGCAGTTTGAGACCAGTGTGCAGTGTGGGCAACATAGTGGGATCCTGTCTCAAAATAAATAAATAAATAAATAAATAAATAAATAAATAAATAAAGGAGAGAGAGAGAGAGGAGGAGAGGGAGAGGGAGAAAGAGAGAAAAGGCAGCTAAATTGGAAAGGAAGAAGTTAAATCAGCCTTGTTTGCATATGATATGATCTTATATCTTGAAAAGCTAAACACTCCACCAAGAAACTGTTAGAACTGATAAACAAATTCAGTAAAGTTGCAAGATACCAAGTCAACATATAAAAATCAGTAGTATTTCTATATGCCCACAGTGGACACTCTGAAAAAGAAGTCCAGAAGGTAATCCCATTTACAGTAGCTACAAATAAAAAATTAAATACCTACAAATTAACCAATGAAATAAAAGATCTCTACAATAAAACCTATAAAACATTGATGGAAGAAATTGACAAGAACACACACAAAAATGGAAAGATATTCCATGTTCATGTGTTGGAAGAGTCAATATTGTTAAAATGCCTATACTATGCAAAGCAATCTACAGATTCAATGCCATCCTTATCAAAATACCAATGACATTTCTCACAGAAATAGAAAAAGTAACCCTAAAATTTATATGGAACCACAAAAGACCCAGATCTGCCAAAGCTATCCTGGGCAAAAAGAATAAAACTGGAGGAATCACATTGCCTGACTTCAAATTATACTACAGAACTACTGTAAGCAACACAACATGCTACTGGCATAAAAACTGAAACATAGACCAGTAGAACAGAGCAGAGAATCTAGAAACAAATCCACACACCTACAGTAAATTCATTTTTGGCAAAGGTGCCGAGAACATACATTGGGGAAAGGACAATCTCTTCTATAAATGGTGCTAGGAAAACTGGATATCTATATGCAGAAGAATGAAACTAGACCCCTATCTCTTGCCATTTGCAAAAATCAAAACAAATTGGATTAAAAACTTAAATATAAGATCTCGAACTATGAAACTACTGTAAGAAAACATCAGGGAAAGTCTCCAGTACATGGGTCTGGGCAAAGATTTCTTGAGTAATACCCACAAACAGAAGCAAAAATGCACAAATGGGATTACAAGTTTAAATGCTTCTGTACAGCAAAGGAAACAAACAACAAAGTAAAGAGGCCACCCACAGAATGAGAGAAAATATTTGTAAACTATCCATCTGACAAGGGATTAAGAACCAGAATATATAAGGAACACAAACAAGTCTATAGAACAAAATCTAATAATCCTACTTAAAAATGGGTAAAAGATCAGAATAGACATTTCCCAAAAGAAGACATACAAATGGACAACAGGTTTATGAAAAGGTGCTCAACATCACTGATCATTAGAGAAATGCAAATCAAAACTACAGTGAGATATTATCTCACTCCAGTTAAAATGGCTTTTATCCAAAGACAGGCAATAACAAATGCTGATGAGGATGTGGATAAAAATGAACCCTCATATACTGTTGGTAGGCATGTACATTAGTACAATCACTACAGATAACAGTTTGGAGGTTCCTCAAAAAACAAAAAATGTAACATATCCAGCAATCCCACAGCTAGGTATATACCCCGATGAAAGGAAATCAGTGTATCAAAGAGATATCTGCACTCCCATATTTATTGCAGTGTTAATCACAATAGCCAAGATTTGAAAACAATCCAAGTGTCCATCAATAGATGAATGGATAAAGAAAATGTGGTAAATATACACAATGGAGTACTATTCAGCCATAAAAAGAATGAGATCCTGTTATTTGCAACAATATAGATGGAGGACATTATATTAAGTGAAGTAAACCAGGTACAGAAAGACAAACTTGACATGTTCTCACTTATTTGTAGGAACTAAAAATTAAAACAATTGAACTCATGGACAAAGAGAATAAAAGGATGGTTAGCAGTGGCTGAGAGGGATAGTGTTGAAGGGAGTGGGTAATGGGAACAAAAATACAATTAAGCAGAATGAATAGGATCTAGTATTTGATATCAAAACAGGGTGACTAAGTCAACAATAATTTATTGCAATTTTAAAAATAACTGAAAGAATATAATTGGGTTGTTTGTAACACAAAGAATGGATAAATGCTTGAGGTGATGGGTACTCCACTTACTCTAATGTGATTATTACACATTGCATGCCTGTATCAAAATATCTCATGTGCCTTATAAATATATATACCTACTATGTACCAGCAAAAATGTAAACACTACAGGCTCATTGATATATCTTACTTTAGAAAGAAATCTCTAAAATTTTAGATCATACCTTGCAAAACTGTGTCTGGGGTCAAAATATCCTAACAGTATATTTGCATTTCTAGAAAATATGACTCCACTAGAGTGTATGATAAGAGAAGCATGTGACATCTTCAGAACAAATGGGGTTGGGAAGTCACCCTCTCCAAACTCAACTTTCCTTCTGTTTTTGTGCCAACCACATTTATTTATGCCTAATATCCTATTAAAGAAGTAGGGTACCTCAACATTTTTAAAGAAATAGGCAAAATTTATCATGAAGTATAGTTATATTTGGTGAAAATACTTGGCTGTTATGATTTATTGAGTGTTAAATTGTCTCCTTTTATTTACAAAAGAAAATGGGTATACAAAATGTACGAGACAGGACATTTAAAATAAATGCCAAAAAGAAAAGCTAGAAACCATTAAGAAGAAAAAATGTAAAACCAGTGACTATGCTAATAGCCAATATTTGAGTCTATGCTATAGGCAATGTATATTGCTAAGAGTTTTGCATGTATTCACTCATTCCATCCTTACCACAGCACTATTAAGTGGATACTTTTGTTTTCTACATTTTCCTGATAAGTAACTGAGGCACAGAGAGATTAGTAATTTCCTGAGGTCACACAGCTAATAAGTGGTAGAACTGGGATTTTACTTCAAACAGTCTTGCTTAGAACTTGAATGCTAATCTTGGGTGCTATTCTGCCCTCCTAACTTGGGGACACTACTTTTCTGAGCTCCAAAGCAGGCAAGGCAAGAATGTTTAATACTGTTTCCAAGTGCTAAATTCTTGAGGAAGTCACTGGGTGAATTGTAATATACTCATGTAACATTATGTAACATGACAAAAACAAGATCCAAAAGTGTTCTTCATAGTATTTCTCTTATCCACCCTCAACAAAGGGAGCTCAAACAGTAACTCAGTGAACACAGCTAATGTGATTTGAAATCCAGATTTCCTAAAATGAATAGCATTGATGATTGGGTGTGATTTCTGTCATTGACCCCTGTTTTACTTACTTCATAGCATGTGCAGCAGTCTATGATCTTGTTTATATGTTTATTTGACTTTGCATTGCTGGCCTCCCCTGCTAGAGTGACAGCAAGGAACAGTCTGCTTTGTTCATCTGCGTGTCTTCAGAACTTAGCATAGAGTCTGGAATGGTAGGTGCTGAAAAATTTTTTTAGTAAATAATTCCCCAAAGGCAAAGAATTCTGTCTAAGAACATGGACTCAAGATCTTCAAATATAAATTATGACTACGAAGAGTCATTGTTGCTTAAGGAGTTACTAGCAGAGCATTCTGGACCAGAGTTGGAGAGCAGGGTGTTGACACTTCTAGTTGTTTTTTTCTTCTTTATAAGCCCTGATGTCAGGGCCAGTCCCTGGAGCTGTTCTGCAGGATCCATCCAAACCCTGTCCACATAGGCAGTTGAGGCCTTTCTACAGTTGACAAAGTGAGTGGACAGAAAGGAAGATCTTCCCCACACCTCCAGCACTGTTTAGTTCAAAGCTCTCTGCTGCTGTCTCCAATCAATTATCTCCAACCAGAACTGAAAGACAAAACACTTCATGGTGCGTTTCTGCAGCAAGAGTTGCATCTGGCTTCCTGCTACCAGATTCATTTTTTCTCAGCACTTCTGGAAACACAGGACTTATGTGGACAAACCAAGCCTTGCATTGCAGCCCAAGCTATTTCAGGGCACACCAAAACCTGTGGTCGGTGGCCTCCCTTTTCAGCCTCCTCTACCTTTGCTTTTCAGTGTCTCTACCCCCTGAGCAGCATATAAGGGGGAAAAAGGTGGCACTTGACCTAGACACATTTTCAACTCAAGGAAGAGATTAACAAAACTATATTATTTATTGGGGAACCTGCCCCGTAGGTTCTTTTCTATTTTCCTTAAGCATCAGCCAGCTTGAGAAATAAAGGGACAGAGTACAAAAGAGAGAAATTTTAAAGCTGGGCATCCGGGGGAGACATCACATGTCGGTAGGTTCCATGATGCCCCACAAGCCGCAAAAACCAGCAAGTTTTTATTAGGGATTTTCAAAAGGGGAGGGAGTGTGCAAATAGGTGTGGGTCACAGACATCAAGTCCTTTACAAGGTAATAGAATATCACAAGGCAAGTGGAGGCAGGGCAAGATCTCAGGACCACAGGACCAAGGTGAAATTAAAATTTCTAATGAAGTTTCGGGCACCATTGTCATTGATAACATCTTATCAGGAGACAGGATTTTGACAGCAACCGGTCTGACCAAAATTATTAGGCGGGAATTTCCTCTTCCTAATAAGCCTGGGAGTGCTATAGGAGACTGGGGTCTATTTCACCCCTAGAGTCTTGACCATAAAAGACAGGTGCACCTTGGGGGGGCCGTTCATAGGCCTATACCTCCAGGCGCGTATTCTCCTTCTCAGGGATGTTCTTTGCTGAGAAAAAGAATTCAGCAATATTTCTCCCATTTGCTTTTGAAAGAAGAGAAATATGGCTCTGTTCCTCCCAGCTCACTGGCAGTCAGAGTTTAAGGTTATTTCTCTTATTCCCTGAACAATTTCTGTTATCCTGTTCTTTTTTCAAGGTGCCTAGATTTCATATTGCTCAAACACACATGCTGTACAATTTGTGCAGTTAATGCAATTATTACAGGGTCCTGAGGCGACATACATCCTCCTCAGCTGACAGGATTAAGAGATTAAAGTAAAGACAGGCATAGGAAATCACCAGGGTATTGACTGGGGAAGTGATAAGTGTCCATGAAATCTTTACAATTTATGTTTAGAGATTGCAGTAAAGACAGGCATAATAAATTATAAAAGTATTAATTTGAGAAACTAATAAATGTCTATGAAATCTTCACAATCCACGTTCTTCTGCCATGGCTTCAGCCGGTCCCTCTGTTTAAGGTCCTTGACTTCCCGCAACAATTATTTATTCCAGTATTTTCTCTAAATAAATCTGAAACTCAAACTCTAATTACATCATAATTTTAAAAAACCTGATAGCTGTTCTAAGCTTTGGTTTCACAAACTGCTGGGCCAGTCCTAACCTTCTCATTTATGTCCTGTAACACTGCATCCCTTTATTTCCCCTAAGCACGCTGTGCCACACCACTGCACCTTTGCCCTTGCTCTTTCCTTGGCCTGGGACACCATGACCCCAGCCCTTCTCTGCCTTCCAAGCTTCAGCTCAGATGTCACAGACACTTTGAAATTTCCAGATGCTTCTATGTACCCCTCTCAGGTCTCCCTTTGTTTTAGCACTTACTATATTGTATTTAACAGTCTCTTTATTGTCTGCCTCCTCCATTAGACTGCAAGCAATTCCTTGAAAGCAGGAATCATGTCTTTCTCATTTCTTGCTCACAGTTCCTGGCATAAAGTCTAGCATGTAGAGAGAACTCAATAAATATTGATTGGAATGAGTCGTATTGCTTAAAAGCCACGATGCTCTCACTGTCTGACCTATTTTTTTCTGCATTCAAAGCTCTTGGAAGCAACAGAAACATTTTAAGTGACTTTGAATATGAGAACTTCTGAAGATGTAATCTTTTGTTATTTCTCTTCCTTTTCAGGAACCTCTTTCAGGAGCTATAAAAGAAAGGGAGGAATCATGTCCACAATTGCAGCTTTCTATGGCGGCAAGTCCATTCTCATCACGGGGGCCACAGGCTTTCTGGGCAAAGTGCTGATGGAGAAGCTGTTTCGCACCAGCCCAGACCTGAAAGTCATTTACATCCTTGTGAGGCCCAAGGCTGGCCAGACACTGCAGCAGAGGGTTTTCCAGATCCTAGACAGTAAGGTATGCCTTATAGGAAAGCGTGTGTGATGGGCAATGCCTTAGGGCAAGATGATTCACTACAATGTTCTCTTATAGTCTCATATTGCAAGTGGGGACCAGGCTACCTGCACAGGTAGAGGAAGGCAGACAAAACAAGACAGCAACAAGCTGCTGGTGGAAATCGGTGTTTTCCCAAAGGAGGGAAAAGAGTGCTTAGTTTCAGTCCAGGGCAGGTGAGATTGTCTATGTCTGGAAACTACTAATTATCAAAATACTCAAACTCCCTGAGTGGATGCTTCAGCCTTAATATCTGCTGCAAGTTCATCTGAATTCTTCACTAATTTTCTTTTAAATTTAAGGTTGATTTCCTCCCCAAATTTTTTGGATATTCTTCTATTCTGTTCTATTCTATTGCTTAGGGAGCAGATGTGACTACTAAGTAGCCATGCAGTGATACTTTCAGTTGTCTAAACTCTACAAGGTTTAGCTGTTATATATTTTATTTATGGGAACTTTTGATATTTCTATTATCCAATAAGTTCTTCTAAGGTAAAAACATTGGAAATAAAATATTACATCTGTGAATGAGCATTTGGATATCAAACCCTCTCTCCTCTCGGAAAAAAAAGACATTATGCATATTCTCTCATGTTTTAATTTATAAATTTCAAGGCAGTATAACCTTGGGTCTCAAACATATCTGGGTTCAAATTCTGGCTTATGAATTTGTTGTCATATCACCTCTTAACCTTCAGATTTTAGATTTTCAAACTTTCCAATGTTTTAAATAAAAACAACAACTAATTTCATAGGAACTAAATGAGAAAATGTACATATGTTGTTCATAATGCACTTTGGAATATAGGGGGTGACATAAGATTGGCAATAAGAAAATTCAGAGTTCCTTTTTTTACAATCTCCTTTCCAGTGTGTAGGAATGTTAACATCTATGATGCACATGTATCTGTTAGCACAGCACATTGTAGACTGCCCAGAAACACTGATGATCAAATTTATCTGCTTGCAACAGAATACGATTTTGTTACAAACCATCATCAAGCAAATTGGAAAAGCCTCACATCTCATGGCTTGACTCAGCAGTGGGACAAAATAATCCTAACAGCTAACATTTACTGGATACTTAGTACATGGCACCTACTATCCAAAGGTCTTTTCACACCTTACTTCATGTATCTTTGCAATAACCCTGTGAAGTAAGAACCATTACTATTCTCATTTTATAGATGGGGAAACTGAGGCCTGAAGCTTTAACTTACCAAAGGTCTTCTACCTAGTAGAGGAAAAATTGGATTTCCAACCCTACAGCCTGACTCTAAGGCCAGCACACTTGCTCCTGCCCCACACTGCCTTCGGGATAACTAATGGTTCTTAAAAGGCTGATATGACATAGAACCAAAACCTAGAATAAATTCCCAGATCCCTCTTCAGGCAGTTTTTCTCAGTTATCTACCCCTAATGCACTTTGTTTTCTTGGGGTTGATCTTCTCATGGAGTATCTTAATGGTGTTCTCTGTTTTTCCTGAATTTGCGTGTTGGCCTGTCTTGCTAGGTTGGGGAGGTTTTCCTGGATAATATCCTAAAATGTGTTTTCCAGCTTGTTTCCATTCTCCCCGTCTCCTTCTGGTACTGCAATCAATTGTAGGTTTGGTCTTTTTATGAAGTCCCATATTTCTTGGAGGCTTTGTTCATTCCTTTTCATTCCTTTTTCTCTATTCTTGTCGGCATCTTATTTCAGTAAGGTGGTCTTTAAACTCTGATATCCTTTCTTCCACTCAGTTGATTCAGCTGCTGATAACTGTGTATGCCTTACGACATTGTTGTGCTGTGTTTTTCAGCACCATCTGGTCCTTCACGTTCCTCTCTAAACTGGTTATTCTAGTTAGCAATTCCTCTAACTTTTTATCAAGATTCTTAGCTTCTTTGCTTTAGGTTAGAACATGCTCCTTTAGCTCATCATAGTTTTATATTACTCATCTTCTGAAGCCTACTTCTGTCAATTTGTCCATCTGATCCTCCGTCCAGTTCTGCATCCTTGATGGAGAGATGTTGTGATCATTTGGAGGAGAAGAGGCACTCTGGCCTTTTGGGTTTTTGGCATTTTTTCCATTGATTCTTTCTTATCTTTGTGAGTTTGTCTAGTTTCAGTCTTTGAGGCTGCTGACCCTTGGATAGGGTTTTTGTGTGGGCCTTTTTGTTGTTGTTGTTCTTGATGTTGTTGTCGCTTTCTGCTTGTTTTTCTTTCAATGGTCAGGTTCCTCTTCTGCAGGGCTGCTGCAGTTTGCTGGGCATTCGCTTCAGGCCTTATTCATCTGATTTTCTGCTGTGCCTGGAGATGTCACTCAAAGAGGCTGGAGAGCAGCAAAGATGGGTCCCTGCTCCTTCTCCTGGGACCTCTGACCTCGAGGGGCACCAGCCTGATGCCAGTAGGATTGCTCCTGTATAGAGTGTCTGACAACCCCTGTAGGAAGGTCTCACCCTGTTGTGGCATTGGGAGTAGGACCGTTTAACGAACCACTTTGTCCCTTGGTGGAGAGGGTGTGTTTCACTGGGGGGAAACCCACTTGTCTGGGTTGCCCTGATTCCTCAGAACTACCAGGAGGAGAGGCTAAGTCTGCTGGTCCACAGAGACTGCAGCCACCTCTCCCCTTAGGGGCTCAGGACCAGGGAGATCAGAATTCTGTTCCTAAGCCTCTGGCTAGAGTTATTGGAGATCCTGCAGGGAAGCCCCTCCCCCACCAACGAGGAAGGATGGGTGGGGGTTAGGCCTGAAGAGGCACTCTGGCCGCAGACTGCCACAGTGTGTGTGTGGCTGCCACGGTGTGTAGGGCTGTGGGGACAAGTCTTGGGACCAAGCCATCCAGCCTTCCTGGCACTAGCAGGGGAAAAGCACAGCCTGGAGCTATAGAAATGGGTGCCACCCTTCCCCTGCCCAGGGAGCTTAGCCTGTTAGGCAGTTGCCAGTCCCAGTGCTGGCTGCTGCCCCTCCCCCAAGGAGCTCAAATGGCTTAGACAGCAGGTGATGGCAGCCAGGGCTCGTCGCCCCTCTGCCCCCAGGAGTTCAGTAGGCTTAAGCAGATTTTAGCTGAGAGGCTGTAAGAATCTGCACTTTCTCAGGTTGGGATGGTAGGCCCTGGTGGCCTGGGTTCCGGAGTGGGCTCTTCTGACCCATAGGTTGCACTGTTCCATGGAAAAAGCAGTTCCCCGGGCCGGGTAGCATGCTCACTCACCACCTCCCTTGGCTGGGGAGAGGGGACTCCCCTTCGCCGTGTGGCTCTCAGGTGGGCCACCGCACCACACTGCTCTTCCTTCTCTTGGTGGGTCACACCAGCCTTCTAGTCAATTTTGATGAGAGAACCTGGATAACTCTGTTGCTGGCGAAGGATTCACACGGTTATTGTGTTTGTTTTTCTTTTTCTTTTTTTTAATTATACTTTAAGTTTTAGGGTACGTGTGTGCAGGTTTGTTACATATGTATACGTGTGCCATGTTGGTGTGCTGCACCCATTAACTCGTCATTTAACATTAGGTATATCTCCTAATGCTATCCCTCCCCCCTCCCCCCACCCCACAACAGGCCCCGGTATGTGATGTTCCCCTTCCTGTGTCCATGTGTTCTCATTGTTCAGTTCCCACCTCTGAGTGAGAACATGTGGTGTTTGGTTTTTTGTCCTTGTGATAGTTTGCTGAGAATGATGGTTTCCAGCTTCATCCGTGTCCCTACAAAGGACATGAACTCATCATTTTTTATGGCTGCCTAGTATTCCATGATGTATATGTGCCACATTTTCTTAATCCAGTCTATCATTATTGGACATTTGGGTTGGTTCCAAGTCTTTGCTATTGTGAATAGTGCCGCAATAAACATACATGTGCATGTGTCTTTATAGCAGCATGACTTATAATCCTTTGGGTATTGTCAGGCCTCTGAGCCCAAGCTAAGCCATCATATCCCCTGTGACCTGCACGTACACATCCAGCTGGCCGGTTCCTGCCTTAACTGATGACATTCCACCACAAAAGATGTGAAAATGGCCTGTTCCTGCCTTAACTGATGACATTGTCTTGTGAAATTCCTTCTCCTGGCTCATTCTGGCTCAAAATCTCCGCCACTGAGTACCTTGTGACCCCCACTCCTGCCCGCCAGAGAACAATCCCCCTTTTTCCTTTACCTACCCAAATCCTATAAAACGGCCCCCACCCCTATCTCCCTTCGCTGACTCTCTTTTCGGACTCAGCCCGCCTGCACCCAGGTGAAATAAACAGCCTTGTTGCTCACACAAAGCCTGTTTGGTGGTCTCCTCAAATGGACGCGCATGAAATTTGGTGCCGTGACTCGGATCGGGGGACCTCCCTGGGAGATCAATCCCGTCCTCCTGCTCTTTGCTCCATGAGAAAGATCCACCTATGACCTCAGGTTGGCACCAAATTTCATGCGCGTCCATGTGAAGAGACCACCAAACAGGCTTTGTGTGAGCAATAAAGCTTTTAATCATCTGGGTGCAGGCGGGCTGAGTCCGAAAAGAGAGTCAGCGAAGGGAGACAGGGGTGGGGCCGTTTTATAGGATTTGGGTAGGTAAAGGAAAAAGGTGGGTTGTTCTCTGGCAGGCAGGAGTGGGGGTCACAAGGTACTCAATGGGGGAGCTTTTGAGCCAGGATGAGCCAGGAGAAGGAATTTCACAAGACGATGTCATCAGTTAAGGCAGGAACAGGCCATTTTCACTTCTTTTGTGGTGGAATGTCATCAGTTAAGGCAGGAACCGGCCATCTGGATGTGTACGTGCAGGTCACTGGGGATATGATGGCCTAGCTTGGGGTCAGAGGCCTGACAGGTATATACCCAGTAATGGGATGGCTGGGTCAAATGGTATTTCTAGTTCTAGATCCCTGAGGAATCGCCACACTGACTTCCACAATGGTTGAACTAGTTTACAGTCCCACCAACAGTGTAAAAGTGTTATGTTTGTTTTTCGATGGGAGCCTCCAATCACCCCTGCTTCTAGTAGGCCATCTTGGTCGCACCTCTGGACTTTGTTTTCCTCACATAGTAGACGTTTCGTGTTAGTCTGGGAGCTTTGTTGCCAACTATGCATTTCTAGATAAATATTGTGGCAGAGAGTCTTGTGGTCAACCCAATCTTTACCTACTGCTTCTTTCAATGCAGTGTTTTTTATAACACGGCAACATTGCTTTTGTTCTGGAAATCGTGATTATACTCTATGTAACTTATCTGTGAAACTGCCTTGCAAATCTCAGCACCTGTTTTCACTATTGGGCTATTTACTGTCAGCTGTTGACTTTTATGAACAGTGGTTCTCAAAGTGTGGTCCCAATATCAGCAGCATTCAAGATCACCTGAGAACTATCTGTTGTGATCAGATGGTACTTAACAGCCTGGGCTTCAGAGGCAGACAGACCTGGGTGTGAATCTCCATACGACCAATTGTGAGTTGTGTGATAGTGGACTAGATATATACTTTGCTGAGCCTTGGTTTCTTTATCTGTAAAATGCTGTAATAATACCTTGCTTACCCAGGGAGTCTCTGCGTCTTTCTCTCTTGCCCTCAAGCCTTTCTGGATTTAAGGTATGGCTTTTACCACTATTTCCTAGGGCCTCACTTTTTACTAAGTTAGGCTGTATACTAAGTTATGCCAAAAAAAGAAGTGTTTTTTTTCCCATAAATTTTTCCCTCAAAGAGTTGTGGGAGGAAGGGAATCTGATGTGTATAATATAGTTGAAAAACACATCTACGGTAGATCACAAACCATGTCTACATGGCCATTTTGTGGGTAACAAGAACAGATTCTATCACCTGATTATTAATGCACAAGCCATTAGCTATGCAAATATCTACTTTCTTGTCACTATATGGAATCTGATACCTGTAAAGAGATTTTCCATGGAAAAAAATATGTGCTTGATTTTATTGCTGCGTATCCCAAAACTGAAAAGTTTTTGCTACAAAATTGTGTATGCTTCAGAATATAAGAATGCTATCGCTGATTGGCTGTGGATAAAGCTCTGTGCAAATAAGGAATTATGCAAGAAGTAGTTACTGGCCATCTATGAGATTCAAGATATTATTGCTTGTATTCCCTTTGAAATTGAAAATTCAAAATAAAGACAAGACAGATAAAATTGTATTTTTTTATATTTTTTAAGTTATGGGGATGAGCTATGTTTGAAAGGTGAAAGAAACCTCTAGATTTTATATATATATATATGTAAAATCTCTAGATTATATATATATATGTGTGTGTATGTGCCACTGCACTCCAGCCTGGGCAACAGAGTGAAACTCTGTCTCAAAAAAAAAAATAGATAAAATACGTTTTTTATAAAATATTTATTTATTTTGAGACGGAGTCTCACTCTGTCACCCAGCTGCTAGAGTGCAGTGGCTCTATCTCAGCTCACTGCAACCTCTGCCACCTGGGTTCAAGCGATTCTCCTGCCTCAGCCTCCCGAGTAGCTGGGATTACAGGCATCTGCCACCGCGCCTGGCTAATTTTTGTAGTTTTAGTAGAGACGGGGTTTCACCATCGTGGCCAGGCTGGTCTTGAACTCCTGACCTCGTGATCCACCCACCTCAGCCTCCCAAAGTGCTGGGATTACAGGCATGAGCCATCACGCCTGGCCATAAAATAGTTTTAATGCATAGCTGACCTTGAGGCAAAATAAGGAAATCCGTAAGTGTCCAGAAATAACAAGAAAGTACACACCTACACACAAAAAGAGTGAGAAAAGTTGAACAAGCACACAAATATGACAAGTATTTATTGAGAGCCAAATGTATGTCAGGCACTTATTGCTTTGTGCCTGGGGAACAGGGGCAATAAAGTAGAAAATAAAACAGGCATGGAATTGGCCTCACAGATCTTAAAGTCCAGTGAGGCAAACGAGTTTCATAAGAAACACATGTATATTTAAGTATTT
The DNA here is from genome assembly GCF_000001405.40 of Homo sapiens. Classification (NCBI taxonomy): domain Eukaryota; kingdom Metazoa; phylum Chordata; class Mammalia; order Primates; family Hominidae; genus Homo; species Homo sapiens. The sequence continues at coordinate 29,277,573 of NC_000012.12, forward strand.
TCAAAAGTACTGTGAAGACAAAGAACACGGCAATTTGAGAGAGAAAATAACAAGTGACGCCTGCTTTAAAATTATCTGCCGGAAAAGGACTCCAGAGATAGTGCCACTGGAGCTCAGGAAGAGTTAATATGTTCAAGAAAATGCAGGAGGGCATTTCTTTCAGGTAGATGCCTAGGCTCTGCCTACTTTGCATGCTTCTATCTGACTATGTAAGGCAAAAATTTATAGAAGTATAATCATGCCTTTGCTGCAAAATGAGAAATAGACATTTAAGAAGAAATTTCCATCTCATCGAATGAGCATTTTGGTGCTATAGTAATTGTTTCAATTTAAAACATTCATTTGTACATATTTTCTTTCTTTTTTTTTTTTTTTTTTTTGAGATAGGGTCTCACTCTGTTGCCCAGGTTGGAGTACAGTTCACAATCAGCTCACTGTAACCTTAAACTCCTGGGTTCAAAGGATTCTCTTGCCTCAACCTCCTGAGTTGCTGGGAATACAGGCACACACTGCCAAAGCTGGCTAATTTTCAAATTTTTGTACAGATGGGATCTCACTATGTTGCTTAGGCTGGTCTTGAACTTGTGGCCTCAAACAGTCCTCCTGCCTCAGTCTCCCAAAGTGCTAGGATTACAAGTGTGAGCCACCACACCTGGTTTATATATATTTTCAATAGTTTTAATAAAATATGTTTATATTTAATAAGATATATTTATACAAATTTTCAGTAGTTTTATAACAACAAAGTCCCTTAGAGGCAGAGGATAGACTTTTTTTAAATTTCTGAGACATGGTCTCACTCTTATCACTAAGGCTGGAGGGCACTGCATGATCATTGTTCACTGCAGCCTCAACCTCCCGGGCTCACGTGATCCACCCACCTCAGCCTCCCAAGTAGCTGGGACCACAAATATGTGACACCATGCCCAGCTATTGTTTTTAATTTTTTTTTTTTTAAGACATGGTGGTCTCACTACATTGTACAGGCTGATCTCAAACTCCTGGTTTCAAGCAATCTTCTGGTCTCAGCCTCCCAAAGTGCTGGGACTACAGGCATGAGCCACCACACCTGGCTAGAGAACAGACTTTTAACAACAAAAAAGTACTTTTTATTCTAAGGTTGAATTTAGGAGGCTGTATAAAGTAAAGGTGGGTAGATGAGACTGATTGCTTACAGAAAGCTAGCTTTGTGTGCTGGACTTGATACTATTACAGGTTTCTTGAAAGATCTGGGAAAAATGTTTAAAATTGCAACTGGAAGACATTTGCTAGACTAGAAATGGAGACTCCTAAGCACTCAGGAATTCAGCAAATGGCTGCTGGTTGGGTTTTTATTTTTATTTTTTGGATTTAAGATACTATCGAACTCTAGTTTAGTTCTTTCTGAATTGAAGACAACTAATTGATGGGTATGTTTCATATTAGTAAAAGCAAAAAGCTTATTAATTTATATTTTACATTAACAAAACCCATAGAGGGAAATTCTACTTTGCCTTTGTAACCCATATGTCAGCTTGGGCATCCCTGCCCTGTAATAAAAATGTAATTAATGACATTCTCCAAGAATCGTTGAGAATTCTCAGATGGCTCATTTTTCATGGTCATTTCTGCTGTTGCCTGGGATGAATTAGGTATGTTTATGAATCATCTTTCATTTCTCATGGGCTCCATACCAAGTTGATCCAGACCAGGCCAAGGCCCTTTCTTCAGTTGTCATAAATTTAGAATCAAACAACAAAAAGAGAGAACACTTGCCTCGGACTGCCTACCACTCACAGGACTTGCCTTTACCTCCCACACATGAATGCCCAATCTTTCAATAGGTCATCCTCTACCCTGTTAATTGAGGTTTTCTGTGTTTATTTTTCTCATCATTTTAAGTCTTCCATTTATTGTAATCTAGGAGAAAATGAGGTCACTGAGTTTGTTAATTCATTATGCTGAGTTTAGTACACAAATTCTAAGCAATATTTCACAGACATGGCTTTTTCTTGGTGCAATAAATATGGGCTTTTGTAAACTGTTTTTTGCTTTTTGGTCCCACAGCTATGTTTTGGATGGTTAAAGATGCTAAAAGTCTAAACCCTCAATTGCAGGTTACTTGTAGGTTTAGTTGTTATACCTGTACTGGGAGGTAGCATAAGGCAGTAAAAAGAACACTGATGCTCTAGATACTCTCTCCTCAATCAGAGAGATAGAGCTTGGTAGAGAGACCATGGCCTAGTTACCTAACCCATATGAGTCTTGTTTTTATTATTCATAAACTGTATCTGATAATAATAGCTATTTCATATGGATTTGCAAAGATCAAATGTGATCCTAAGTATAAAATAATGTTTTATATTGTGCAATATAATTTTTTTTTTTTTTGAGATGAAGTCTAGCTCTGTCACCCAGGCTGGAGTGGAGTGGCACAATCTCTGCTCACTGCAACCTCCACCACCCGGGTTCAAGTGATTCTCCTGCCTCAGCCTCCCAAGTAGCTGGGATTACAGGCACCCGCCACCATGCCTAGCTAATTTTTGTATTTCTGATAGAGATGGGGTTTCACCATGTTGGCCAGGCTTGTCTCAAACTCCTGACCTCAGGCGATCTGCCTGCCTCGGCCTCCCAAAGTATTGGGATTACAGGCATGAGCCACTACTCCCGGCTAAATGTTAGTTTTTTATCAGTAACCTCTCATTTCTTTTACCCAGGTATGTTATTTTGTTCGTTATCCCTAGGCAAGACCCTCTAGATTGCCTGTAACAGTTTCACACTCTTATCAAGGATGTATATATTCCTGCATTCTCTTTTCTATAGTTAGTCATCATTTCATTAGAAAGATATTTAAGAATTCACATTTATATTACAACATTTAATTTGAAAAAAACTTTTTGCGGGAAAGGAAAGTATAATCAGAAATTCATCTATCATCTTAAAGTCCTAGGTTTCACCAGTCTGTGCCATATGTGTTCACATTAACTCTCCATTCTGCATGAGTTGTACTAATGTGGGTGCTGAAGGAGATAAACCCCCCAAATCAGTAGCTTAATACAAATGAAATTTGATTCTCAAACACAGTAGGTGTAATTGGTAGAAGGCATTGCACTCCACAGTCATTCAAGGATCCATGCTAAGGGAAGGTTGCCATCTTCTACACATGGCTTCTAAACCATCCAAGGTCTCTCTGGATGACAATAAAAAACTGTCAGTGGGGTAAAAGAGGCACTGGACATCATGTGGAAGGTTTTTGTGGCCCAGGCCCAGAAGTGCCTATCACATCTGTCCATATTCCATTCTCAGAACTGTCACTGGGCATCTAACCACAAGGATGGCTGGAAAATGCATAGCTGTGTGTCCAGGAGAAAAGGAAAATAGGATTGTTGAACAACTAATGAGGTTCTGCCATGGCCTTCTTTTTAGGTCGCCAAATATCTGCTTTCCTCTCTTTCCCACACATAGAAGACACTCATTCCTACCCCAGGGTCTCATACCATTATTGCATCCAGTCCAAAGTCCAAGGGGGAATAGACTATCCTCTCTATCAGATCCAGATATTTCAGCTTCTGGTTTGGTATTCTTGGATAAAAAGGTGAATTTTCTGCCTCCCAATGTTGAGGTAGAAAATGTCTCTGTTCTATCTCTTGTCATTGTAGAACAGCGAAGTTGAAGAAAAAATAAAATCAAACAAACAAAGACACCTTCTATTCAAAAAAGAGAAGACAGGCAGGCAAGCAGCAGTCCCTAGAATATAACCATAAGGAAATCCTGATTAGCGAGTATTGAGAAGCTTCCTACACTGGGAGTGGGGAAATTCCTTAAATAGCCTCTAAATCTAATCTCTGGGAGGAACCTTCTTTTCCATTATTATTTGTGGTGGCTCCATCCTCTGGAAAGTTCTTCCTTATTTCTTATTCCCTGGCTGTCACCTCTGAAGTGGCTGTTAAGAAGTGTGCTCTTCTTGCGATCTTTGGCTTCATAACTCATTCTGCAAGAGTAAAGACGGAAACTAATGGGTGTTTTAGGTTTAAGGTCTGTCATTTGCGGACTCTGGGGCTGTGGGAGAAAAAATAAATCGTTTGGTTCATGCACACAATGTGACAGCTTGGCATAAGTAAAAGACATGAACAAAAGGATTAATGAAGAAGTGAAAGAAAGAAGGTGTATACATTAGGCACAACATCACCTAAAAAAAAAAAAAAACTGGAATGCATTAAACTTGTTCATTCAATAAGTGTTGGCTGAGTGCCTACTAAGTGTCAAGCACTGAACCAGATGTGGAGGATTCAGTGGCAACACACGGAAAAGTTAAAGGAAAAAAAAATTGGGTAATAAATTTGTTATTGGTTTTAGCAAATCCAAAAAATTCAAGAAAATAGTGCAGTGTTTGCCAAATCTAAAACTCTTTCACCCTCACTGAGTCTTAAATTAGGAATGCACAAAAGCAGAATTACTAGAAAATCAAAGTTTTATGGGTGTATTCCCTTAAGTAATAGCCCTATATTGGAAAGTTGGTGGAGGTGACTGCACATTTTAAATAACCAACCTGCACCTTTACCCCCTCCCCCATATCCTAACCAAATAAAGTATAAAATGAGGTAGAACTCACCATGTTACATCAGCTTGCCAGGAATGAAGTCAATGCTGATTGGAAAAGTGTCAAGCAATAAAGAAGAGTTTGGATTTATCTTTAACACTGTCTTCATGTCACTCGAGACTTTAATTTCAGCCAACTCTACTTCTAAAACCAACCTCTTATGCAATGATCCTGTCTGGGTCAGAGTTTCTTCTGGTAGGCATCAGATTCTGCAAATATTTATTATCTCATGTTAATCAAGTCCCCCTCTAGATTCTGCCATTTAACTTTAACGAGTTTGACACAAACAGAGTGATTTAATGCAGTTGTAACTTATTCCTAAGTAGGGCCTGGTATAGCTTTTAAGCAATACATCTCTCCAGTCACACATAATAATGAATGAATTCTAACTCACTGCAAGTACTACAGTGTTCCTGAAGGTAATAAACCATGTCAGCTATGTGAGGCTTGGAAATTTTTTTTTAAAACATAGTAACCAAAAATGTTACCAGTTGGCCTTTGATTACAACTACATCCCCCAGGAAATGTGATCAAAAGGACATCTGTTCTATGTATCAAAATTCAGACATCTGCTTCCTTCTTTTCCTTTTATGGTATGCATAGATATCACATCTGACTTCCAGTTTCCCTGCTGTCAAAGAGAAACTATTAAATGGGAGATGCTCTAGACAAAGGGATTTTAAAAAATCCATTGGCCACAGAGAACTAGAAGTGAAGAATCGAAAAAGAAGATTAATTTTCTTTCTTATTACTAAGTTTCTTAAGTATTTTCAGAGCACTTAAAGGGACATACCAGTGGGGGGAAAGTATATGAATTAATGGCAGGATTCTTGAGGACTTTCTCACAAAGATAATTAAGGTGTCACTCCAAGACAACAGCCAGAGACACCACAAATAATGTATAGATATTTTTATTGTAGTATTACTTATAGTAAACTTGGATCCAATTTAAATGTTCCACAATAGAGGAATGACTAAATAAACAATATATACAAGTGTTAGACAAGTATCCAGGCATTAAGAATCATGTTTTATAAAATAGTAAATGACACAAAAAGCCTTGTAATATATTGGTGCAAAAACAGATGCAAAACTATATTCAGTATAATCTCAACTATTAGCCCTAAATGTTGTTGTGATCTTGGATTACAATTTTTTTGCATTTTCAAATTTTCAAATTAGAATTATGATTATGCTACTTCTATGGTGAGGAAAAATTACCCTTTATAATAGTGAAAAAATAAGAACAGTAATCTTCTATCTTCCACATTTTCCAAATACGATGAACACATTACACTTTTACAGTGGAAGAAAAGAAACACCTATCTTGTAAAGTAGTAAATAAATCAGAATAAGGCAGAAATCAATCATGAATTTACAAAATTATGTCATCAAGTATAAGTTCAGTTCATTTTTAGTTTTGAAACTGTTTATCAAAATTAAATAGTTTGACTTATTTTTATTAGAAATATGATTCTAAGTATTCAACATTGCTTTTTAAAAAATTATCATCTAGTTTTTCATAAAATCTGAGGAGCTGCTAGGTAAATTTCGCACACCAAATTTCGTGTGTTGAAATGTGAACATGCTCACCACAGACCAAGGGTTTCCGAGCTGCTGTTTCATCTCTTACTTATGGAAAATATGCTCATGTAATTATGAACCAATCAGCTTTTCATTGTGTCAAAAGCAAATGTAGATAGTGCAATTGATATTTTAGCTTTATTATTGTCTTAAATATGTCTTGGCTTAAAAAGACATGGATGGCTTTTCCCCACTATACCAGATAATGAGTTGCAAATAAATCATTCAGTAGTAAAGTTCAAAGAAATGTTGAAAGCATTTCGAGTTTCCTAGTGTCTTACCGATATGTTTCTTTTTACAACAACCATGTCCCACGTCTATCTGTTTAGGATCTTAAGTTGCTAATAATCTACTCTCAATAATTCCTTAAGAAAACATTGAAAGGACAGTATCTATACCAAGGGAATAAAACCCTAAGTAGTAGAAATTATTAAAAGTGATGTAGCTACTTAGGAATGAGTGTGAGCTCAGACACTGAAAAATGTATCATTGAGATAATACCAAAAATGGTCAACCTTTTCCTGTTAAGTTATAGTAAAGTATATAGTTTGAGTACTTAGTATATAAGAGAAGAGTTAGAATGAGATTGTACCAGGTTGAGAATTCCTCATCCGAGAAGACCAGACAAAATTCAAGGTTTTTAGAGAGGGACTATCTTGAATGATATCACCAGTAAGTGGGTTTATAAACAAAGACAGAGCTAGGCAGGTTGCACTGGATCCTTCAAACCAGTTTCTCTGGAAAAATCTGAATTACTCAGTAAACCCTCAGTTGCCCCTGAGGTAAATCAACTTTGAAATACAGTAGAGAACTCTGGGTGATAAATCACGCAGGGTTACACACTGGGTCCACAGTTCACAGAACATGATTAGATTTAAGACAATAGAAGACAGGGACATTTTATGAACTAGTTTATTGAATCCTTTTGAGACTATCACTGGCAGTTCCCAGAAGGCTTAGATAAATTAATCTTTAAGAGGTAAACAAATTAACTTCGAACTAAGAAAACAAAAACAAAACAAAAAACTTTGAATTAGAAAACATCTTCAAAGAAAAGCCCACCAATGAAAGAAGCACACAGTAGAAGCATTACTGTTTTGTTTGTTTGTTTGTTTGTTTGTTTTGAGATGGAGTCTCGCTCTGTCGCCCAGGCTGGAGTGCAGTGGCGCGATCTCGGCTCACTGCAAGCTCCACCTCCCGGGTTCACGCCATTCTCCTGCCTTAGCCTCCCGAGTAGCTGGGACTACAGGCGCCCGCCACCACGCCCGGCTAATTTTTTGTATTTTTAGTAGAGGCGGGGTTTCACTGTGTTAGCCAGGATGGTCTCGATCTCCTGACCTCATGATCTGCCTGCCTCTGCCTCCCAAAGTGCTGGGATTACAGGCGTGAGCCACCGCGCCCGGCCGCATTACTGCTAAGTTTCTTGTTAATTTTCAGACTCTTTTGTAGGGAAAAAAAAGTGTGTTCATGCTTCGCTGTATAAAAGCTGCTTGTTCTCAACTTCCAAAAATGAATTTCTGATTGACATTAATGATTCTGTTAAATCTCTACATAAGGCAAAGGCAATTGGAAACATTTGCATTAAAACTTCCAAAATTGGAAATATTTGCATTTAAACTTCCAAAGCCAGTTGTGTTCCATTACTGTTTTACGCCCCGCCCCTCCAAAGGACTAAGAAACTATCCCACAAAAAGCAAGAGGCCTCTAGTGTAAGCAGTTTTCAGTTTTCCTGTTACTCAAGTCAGATCAGCTGAAGGATGTTCAACCTCTCCCCTGCAGGCCATTTACTTTAAGGAAGGAAGGAAGGGAGGAAGGGAAGAAGGAAGGGAGGGAAGGAGGGAAGGAAGGAAGGAAAAAAATCTCTTCCAATCACATTAAGTCTTTTTCTTAAAAGCTTCAAATTGGCCGGGCTTGGTGGCTCATGCCTGTAATCCCAGCACTTTGGGAGGTCGAGGCAGACAGATCACAAGGTGAGGAGATCGAGACCATTCTGGCCAACATAATGAAACCCCGTCTCTACTAAAAATACAAAAATTAGCTGGGTGTAGTGGCACGTGCCTGTAGTCCCAGCTACTTGGGAGGCTGACGCAGGAGAATCACTTGAACCTGGGAGGTGGAGGTTGGAGTGAGCCGAGATCACACCACTGCACTCCAGCCTGGTGACAGAGCTTCAGTCTTAAAAAAAGCTTCAAATTGCCCATACTAATTTCATTAAAAAAAGTTACCAAGCCATGAGGTTCAACATGATTTTGGCATACATTTTGTTCTTAGAAGTATCTGGATCACAGGATAAAATCAGAAACGTTGGCATGACCCAACACACACACAGACACACACACACACACACACACACATACACACACACACAACACAGCTTTCTGATCAGCAGTTTTTGGAAATGGAGTATTGCTGTGGAAGTAGAAAGGGAATTTTCCTATTATTAGGGAACTACAAAGCGGTGGGCACTATGACAAACATCTGACTTTCATTACACGAATCCTCAGAAATCTCTGCAGTATGCCTATTCCTACATCACAGATGAGATACAGTTGTCATCTCTCCAAGGTTATGTAATTTGTGCCAAGTGATACAGCAAAATTGGAATGCAGGTCTCTAATCTCTAAGTCCATACTTTCCCTATTGTACTGCATTGCCTCCCCTAGGAAATTTCTTCCTCGATGACAATATCATGAGGAAAGTGAAACTATTGCTTGCCATTTCTGAGTTAATATCAGTGTTTTTTCCATCCTCTAGCATGGATAATGCAGAGATGCCACCAGTTCTGTTGGAGAGTAGAAATAATCTTAAGTTTGGTCTCCATCTTCCTAGCCACCCTAGCTCTTTTCCTGCCCAGATGCAAGAAACAATTCTCAAAGGACTGTGAAATTGATCTTTGGTGTGGGGAAAAGAAAACATAACCAGATGATGAATCAAGCACTGTGTTGCCTTTAGCATTTATTGTAGAATATTATGTAAAGTGAACTAAAATTTTGTTAAATACAAAATTGTCTTTAAGAATAGCATAATATATGCTTAAATCTCTGAGGTCACAGAATACGATTTTAAGTGCAAAATTGTCTTTAAGAACAGCAAAATATATGCTTAATTCTCTGAGGTCACAGAATACGATTTTAAATGCAAAATTGTCTTTAAGAACAGCATAATATATGCTTAATTCTCTGAGGTCACAGAATACGATAGTCAGGTGGTTGGCATTTTAGATAAATATGCAAAAACACAATGACCCAGAGAGGTAAGTAACTTCCCCCAGTCACATAGCAAATCAATGGCAGAATCAGAATTCAAATATAATATTTCATGACTCCTAAGGGCCTGAGCTCTTTCCAATACACCAATGGTTCTCAACTTCAGGGTATATCAGAATTACTAGAGACCATGTTCAAAGAAAAGATAGATGCCCAAGCTTGGACTAATAACTGTTGAATGAGAATCTTCAGGGTCAGGACATAGGTTTGTTTGTTTGAGCAACTTCCTGGGCAACCCTGCTATATGCCGAAAGTTGACAGCCATACTACTACACCATGCTGCCTTATGGAGTTATAGAAACGGTCTTCGCTAAAGCACTAAAAACGTCTAGATTAATCCTTTACATCTTATGAGAGTTACTAGTGAACTAGCAACAATTTTAACATTTTGTGAATTTTTGTTAATCTGTACATTGGGTATAATGGTTTTTGCTTAAATTAACGAACTTATTTGTGTTTGTTTTCAACTTAAAGCTAATTTGCAGAATTCATTGATTTGTTTTTACTCAGCACTCTAAAAATTCTCTAAAAAAAATTACAGTGTCTCTTTCACCTTGGGACACCAAATATTCCACAGAGATTGCCCCTTAGTTTAAGCAACCTTACTCATTTATTTTCCAAAAAAAATTAAGCAAATTTTGGTGGGTTATTGGGACTACATAATGTAGTTATTTTTGAAGAGAAAGACTTTTTGAAGAGAAAGACGTAGTAAAATGATTAAAGATCAAAGATTCTCATGATTAGAAAAGATTAGATTACCTTCAATGAGCCCCAGGAAGTAGAGGGCAAATCTCCTGTGGATACTTACAAAATGAGGTCATGTGGCTAACTAGTTCATTGTAAGAGACCATGTTAAAGGCCTCTGGATTGTTTCAAAAGCATTATATAAATGTAATGCCCCCACCCCAATTCCTACTTCTAATAAAAATGCAGTCTTGATGTCTGACTACAGAAGTCATACCCAAGGAGTTTATTTAAACCAGACAAATTTTTTTTTCTGGTTTTCTCTTTCTGCTGAATTTTCTTACTTAAGAGTTTGCAGTTTCTCTGTTGCCTCTGGGCTACAAGTAACTATTCATATAATTAGAAGAGTATCTTATGTTTAAAAACAAATTAAGGAGAGAAATACTTGCCTGTGTAATGGCAAGTCAATGGAACACTCCCAAAGTTTCCAATCTGAAATGCTTAGATCACCTTTCAGCTGTATCTTTCAGTGACCACAGAAATGTGTCCTACTCTTGTAAAGAACAAGGTTTCCTAAAATGGATCAACAGCAATCCCTCTGCTTGAGTTTTGATGATGGTGAGCAGCTTTCCAACTATTTACCTCTCAGTCTTGTGCCATCAAGTAGAGAATATGAGTTTATGCAATGAGAAGAAACAGGATAAGCTCTTAGAATTTAAAATAATTATATTGTTCTTTATTGGTGGGCTTTCAATGAAATTTCTGAAATTCTGTTTTTTCTTTACTCATTTTGATTTCATCTATTTTTCTTACTTTAATCTCTCACATTAGCAACAAACACACCAAAAAGAAAATTTTTTTTAGAAGAGCTGGTGCTTATCCAGGTTCCATTTGCACCATTTCATCTTGTCCCTTCAGTCTTGTCATTATTATAAAAATAGAAGGTCTGCTATAAAGACTGGAGAAATTACATTACTTCAAGCTCCCACTGGCAGTTAATATAGAGGACTCAGGAAACACTTGTGTCCTCGTTTAGCAGTCGCTATCTGCTATCTCTCATCACAGTCATACAAACTTCAGGAATCAGGCTTCCATTCTATTGTAGTAATAGTTCTATTACTGATCTTACAGGAATTAATTTTAATTCAATAAGCAAAATTTGAGTCTTTTCAATGAATGGCATACTGTCAGGCATAAAGAGATGAATAAGAATCAAGGAGTTTACAAAGAAATTTTTTAAAAAGCCTTTAAAATAGCCACACATAAAATTAAATACCTAGGAATTAACTTGACCAGAGAAGTGAAAGATCTCTATAATGAAAACTATAAAACACTGATGAATGAAATTGAAGAGGACACCAAAAACTAGAAAAGTATTCCATGTTCATGGATTAGAAGAATCAATATTGTTAAAATGTCCATACTACCATCCAAAGCAGTGTACAGATTCAGTGCAATCCTTATCAAAATATCAGTAACATTATTCATAGAAATAGAAAAAAACAATCCTAAAATTTATTTGGAACCGCAAAAGACTGAGAATAGCCAAAGCTAACCTGAGCAAAAAAGAATAAAACTGGAGGAATCACATTACTTGACTTCAAATTATACTACAAAGCTATGGTAACCAAAATAGCATGGTACCAGCATAAAAACAGACACACAGACCAATAGAACAGAATAGAGAACTCAGAAAAAAATCCACACACCTACAGTGAACTCTTTTGACAAAGGTGCCAAGAATATACACTGCAGAAAAGACAGCCTCTTCAATAAATGGTGTTGGGAAAACGATATCCAGATACAGCAGAATGAAACTAGACCTCTATCTCTCTCCATATACAAAAATCAAATCAAAATGGATTAAAGACTTAGATCTAAGACTTCAAACTATGAAACTACTACAAGAAAACATTTGGGAAAATCTCCAGGACGTTGGTCTGGGCAAAAATTTATTGAGCAATACCCCACAAGCACAGGCAACCAAAGCAAGAATGGACAAATGGGATCACATCAAGTTAAAAAGCTTCTACACAGCAAAGGATACAATCAACAAAGTGAAGAGACAAGCCACAGAATGGGGGAAAATATTTGCAAACAACCTATCTGATAAAGGATTAATAACCAGAATACATAAGGAGCTCAAACAACTATACAGTAAAAAGTATAATAATCCGATCAAAAAATGAGCAAAATATTTGAATAACCATTTCTCAAAAGAAGACATACAAAAGACAAACAGGCATATAAAAAGGTGCTCAACATCACTGATCATTAGACATGCAAATCAAAACTACAATGAGATATTATTTCACCCCAGTTAAAATGGCTTATATCCAAAAGATAGGCAATAAAAAATGTTGTCAATGATGTGGAGCAAAAGGAACCCTCATATGCTGTTGGTAGGAATGTAAATTAGTACAACCACTACGGAGAACAGTTTGCATGTTCCTCAAAAAACAATAGAAATACCATATGGGCCAGGTGTGGTGGCTCATGCCTGTAATCCCAGCACTTTGGGAGGCTGAGACGGGTGGATCACTGGAGGTCGGGAGTTCAAGATCAGCCTGGCCAACGTAGCGAAACCCCATCTCTACTAAAAATACAAAAATTGGCCAGACATGGTGGTGCATACTTGTAATCCCAGCTACTCAGGAGGCTGAGGCAAGAGAATCACTTGAACTCAGAAGGTGAAGGTTGTAGTGAGCCAAGATTGTGCCACTGCACTCCAGCCTGGGTGACAGAGTGAGACTCTGTCTGAGAAAAAAAAAAAAAGAAAGAAATACCATATGATCCAGCAGTCCCACTGCAAGGTATATACCCAACAAAAAGGAAATCAGTATCTCAAAGAGGTATCTGCACTCCCATATTTGTTGCAGTACTGCTCACACTAGCTAAGATTTGGAAGCCACCTAAGTGTCCATCAATAGATGAATGGATAAAGAAAATGTGGTACATATACACAATGGAGTACTACTCAGCCATCAAAAAGAATGGGATTCAGTCATTTGCAACAACATGGATGGAAATGGAGGTCATTATGCTAAGTGAAATGAACCAGGCACAGAAAGACAAACATTGCATGTTTTCACTTATTTGTCAGGTACAAAAATCAAAACAATTGAACTCATGGACATAAAGAGTAGAAGGATGGTTACCAGAGGCTGGGAAGGCAAGTGGGAGGGGGTGGATGGGAATGGTAAAGGGTGGCAAACAATAGAAGAATTAATAAGACCTACTATTTGATAGCACAATAGGGTGACTATAGTCAATAATAATGGTACATTTTAAAATAATTTAAAGAGTATAATTGGATTGCTTGTAACTCAAAGGATAAATGCTTGAAGGGATAGATACCCCTTCTCCATGATGTGCTTATTTCATATAGCATACCTGTATAAAAACATCTCATGTACCCCATAAATATATATACCTACTATGTACCCACAGAAATTAAAGAAAAATAGAAAGAGTTTCCCTACAAAAGAAAAAAAGAATCAAGGAGTTTACAAACTAGAGGGGGAAATATAAGCCCTGAATTTAAGAACAGACATGAATTTTTCAGAGTCAGTGTTTCCCAATTATGGTACCTGGACCATCAGATCCACCTGCAGAGGCGGTTAAGAAATACAATTTCCTAGGTTACACACAAAACTACTGAGCCAGGGTCTCTGAGGGTGGAATAAAGAAATAATTTTTAACCAGGTTCTTTGATTTTTCATGCCTACAGTTTGAAAGCTACTGATGCGAAGATTGCTCTGGGCAGTTATAAAGGGAAATGAGTTGTATGCAGTTATTCATCTGCAATGGTCCGTGTTTGCACTCTAAATGGAGAAATTCTCATCATTTGCATGCCTTAAAATCAATTGGGGGACTTGGTGTGAAATACAGATTCCTGGGTGTGCCCTAGTAATTTCTTATTTAGTGGGTATGGGATAGGACCCAGGAATATACATTTTAATTATGCTACTAGTGATTCCAATGCAGTTCACTTTGTGGACAGCGTTATGAAAAGACCAAAACCACTGACCTGTTGGATTCCAGTTGGCTGCCATCTCTGTCACTCTATTCAGGACATGGCACTATTAAAGAGTATTATTTTAGAAGCTATAGGGGTATGGTGAGATTCCTGACAGGGCAAGTCCTATTATTAAGCAAGGCTAATGTAGTAAAATGGAATCCTCATTTAGTACTGTGGTTTGAATTGATGCAGCCAATTCATTGATTTATTTCAGTGGAACATTATCAACTACTATCTAAATCAGAAAACTCAGACTTTTAAAAAATTGTACTATGTTCATTCAGATATGCATTCTTGATTGAAAATACAATGCAACAGATACAACACAGATTGGAACATTATTTCCTAAAATTGTAATGATCTCCTGAAAAGTAATGCAAATATGGGATCTTGGTGCTGTTCAACGTTGCACAGGTTGTCTGAAAGTATAATATGGAATAGCAGTAACTTCTGTCTTTTAAAGTCATAAAAACCAAAGGCAAAAGAAAATCTAAATATGACTACTTACATCATATGTAAGGAACCCCATCGTGAGAAGGGTGGATGCTGAAACCATCTCCTACTTCTTGCTTTCCAGTAGTCAGAAGTCTTCACAGGCCAAAGTGAAAGAGTCCACAGAACCCTAAGTAAATTTCTAGTGAATAAAATATATCATGTAGACTCAAAAAGAGTCTTCTCCAAATTCAGTTACCAAAAAAGAGAAAATTATACAAATTTTAGATAAGCTTACCCAAAAATATTCAACATATGTTTGTTGTACAATTAACATTAACTATCAAGAGGGAAAACATCTGACTCTAGAAGAAAACATTTAGCATGCTTATGATTGATTAATATTAGAAAAACTGTTAAAGATCTTTCTGGAAGAGATGTACCCCAGGGTGTTTTTATTGGGTAATAAAAAGTTGATCTCAAGTAGTCAGAGAAATCATGTCTCATTTGTATCAGGCAAGAGCATGTTCAGAAGCCATTCTGAGGATTTAATGAAGATGACTAGGAAAGGGAAGAAATCCACATATTGATCTGGCAAGTTAACATATTTCAATTCTGTCTACCATTTTTCTGCACTGTAGGGCCAGCCTTTTCAGTGGTGTGTTACTGCAATTCTGAAGATCATTTGGAAGTTAGGTCAGTCCTCAATGCTTTTGACATCTGGGATTGATAAGGTTGATAAAGTGTCCTGGGCACATTCTCAACAAAGAGGTCATTCTGACTCTTCCAGAAAGATCTTTAACAGTTTTTCTAATATTAATCAATCAAGG
This sequence comes from Homo sapiens, assembly GCF_000001405.40. NCBI lineage: Eukaryota > Metazoa > Chordata > Mammalia > Primates > Hominidae > Homo > Homo sapiens. Next base: position 29,292,969 of record NC_000012.12, read on the forward strand.
GATCCTCCCATCTCAGCCTCCCAAGCAGTTGGGACTACAGGCACACACCACCATGCCTGGCTAATTTTTTGTATTTTTAGTAGAGACAGGTTTTTACCATGTTGCGCAGGCTGGTGTCGAACTCCTGGGCTCAAGTGATCTCCCTGCTTTGGCTTCCCAAAGTGCTGAGATTACAGGCATATGCCACCATGCCCAGCCAGATGTCTTCTTTAAGTAATGTTATTACAACTAAAACCAGTTTTTGAGTATAATTAAGCAGGTTGTTATAAACAAGAACAATGTGATAATGATGGTGCTATTTTTTGTATATTGATCTATATTTATGTTTCAGCTATTTGAGAAAGTCAAAGAAGTTTGTCCAAATGTGCATGAGAAGATCAGAGCTATTTATGCAGATCTCAATCAGAATGACTTTGCCATCAGCAAAGAGGACATGCAGGAGCTTCTCTCCTGTACAAACATAATATTTCACTGTGCAGCCACTGTACGCTTTGACGACACTCTCAGGTACATTCCCATTTCCCTCTCATGGCTTGTATACATATGTGTGCATGTAAATTTCTTCATAGTTTCTGTAAAAAAAAAGAAATACACTCTAAACAAAAAAGACATACAAAGAAGCAAAACTCCTCCAAAATCCCACCATCTAGAAACAACCATTTACTATTGTGGAGAATATTCACTCCAATTTTTCTTTATGTATCTATGATTACATAGGTGTATGTTCAATTTTACTGGAAGAAAATGGCATCCTAGCGAGAATGATGTTTTGCAACCTGCTCAATTATATTTTTTGATATCTATCATTGTCAATAAATATTCTATTATAATTTGTAATGATTACATGACATTCCATTGTACATATATATATAATATATTAAACCAGTTCTATGTCGGTGGACATTTGGATTGTTTTAATTTTTCACTATTAACAACACTGCAATGAACATCTGTGTGCATGTGTATTTTTCACCCCTTTGTGTGCTCTTCTTGAGATAAATTCCTAGAAGTACAATTATCAGATACATATCAGATGTTACCCAGGTTATGAACAGTTTGCATTTTCACACATAATGCTAAATTGCTCTCCAAAAATGTGGTGTCCACTTACACTGTCTCTGTGCACATGAATGCTCATTTTTACAGTCACAAAATAATACTATAATTTTTAAATTATTTTAATGTTGCTAATAGGATAATGGAAATGGTAGCACATGTTCTGATTTGTATTTCTTTGATGATTACAAAGGCTAATGATATTTAAATGCTTATTGGCATTTTGTTCTTTGTGAAATGCCTATTGATGTTCTTTGCCTATTTTTCTATTGAAACATTTTTTTCTTATTAAGACTTCTTGAAAGTTTCAGCACAGTAATTCTTAATTTTTTTTTTGTTGTTGAGACAGTTTCGTTCTTGTTGCCCAAGTTGGAGTGCAATGGCAGGATCTTGGCTCACTGCAACCTCCGCCTCCTGGGTTCAAGCGATTCTCCTGCCTCAGCCTCCCAAGTAGTTGGGATTACGGGTGCCTGCCACCACGCTCGGCTAATATTTTTGTATTTTTAGTAGAGACGGAGTTTCATCATGTTGGCCAGGCTGGTCTCAAACTCCTGACCTCAGGTGATCCACCCGCCTTGGCCTCCCAAAGTGCTGGGATTACAGGCGTGAGCCACTGTGCCTGGCCATTAAATTCTTCATCTTTTATAAGGCTGAAACTATTTTAACAATTTATCAAATGTCTTTCAAGTCAATTATTTATGCAGTTATTTATAATTTCTCCTAGTATTTTTATGGTTTCATTTTTACATTTAGATTTTTGATCCATTTATAAAGTATTTACCTAGAAAGAGGAGTACGGGCCAATTCTGTAAGAAGAGTGATGCAGATGTGAAAGTAAAGCAGCTTTATTTTTTTTTTCTGCCACATGGTTAGTTTTTGAACAATATTTGTTAAATATTTTATTTTTACTCTTTATCTGATATAAAGCTCTTAAACTAAATTTCAGTTTTTAAACTATTTTGTTACATTAAATCAGGCTTTCACTTCCAGTACTGTATCATTTTAATTACTGTAATTTCTATTATATTAGAGCAAGCATACTCACAGCACTGTATTTTTTTCTTTTGAGATGGAGTTTCGCTCTGTTGCCCAGGCTGGAGTGCATTGGCGTGATCTTGGCTCACTGCAACCTCCACCTCCTGGGTTCAAGTGATTCTTTTGCCTCAGCCTCCCCATGTAGCTGGGACTACAGGCACCCACCACCATGCCTAGCTAATTTTTGTATTTTTGGTAGAGACGGGGTTTCACAATCATGGCCAGGCTGGTCTTGAACTCCTGACCTCAGGTGATCCGCCCGCCTCGGCCTCCTAAAGTGCTGGGATTACAGGCGTGAGCCACCGTGCCCAGCCACACTTCCATTTTTATAGAATTTTCCTTACTGTTCTCTTTGCATATACTTCCTGATTAAATTTAAGATAATTTTGCCAGGTTTTTAAAAATCTTGGGAGTTTGATTAGAATTACCTTGCATATGTAGAATACTTGGGAGTTTGATTAGAATTACCTTGTATATGTAGAATACTTTAAAAACATTTAGTATATTTAAAATATTCATTCTTCCCATCCAAGAACAATATGTTTTCCCATTTTATTCAATTTTTTATTTGTTTTTTGTTATTATATATTCATTTATGATGAATTTGATATATTTTAAACGTTCAACTTTGGACATTTCTTCCCTTTTCTTCTCTAATTTTTGTTTATATACAAGCAGCTAGTGATTTTTTACGTAATTTTTTTTTTTTTTTTTTTTTTTGAGACGGAGTCTCGCTCTGTCGCCCAGGCCGGACTGCGGACTGCAGTGGCGCAATCTCGGCTCACTGCAAGCTCCGCTTCCCGGGTTCACGCCATTCTCCTGCCTCAGCCTCCCGAGTAGCTGGGACTACAGGCGCCCGCCACCGCGCCCGGCTAATTTTTTGTATTTTTAGTAGAGACGGGGTTTCACCTTGTTAGCCAGGATGGTCTCGATCTCCTGACCTCATGATCCACCCGCCTCGGCCTCCCAAAGTGCTGGGATTACAGGCGTGAGCCACCGCGCCCGGCCTTTTAACGTAATTTTTATCAGTGGACACCTTACTGAATTATAGTACATTTCAGTTTTTTTAAAAAGCTGCTTCTGTTTTCCATGTATGCAATTATATAATCCGACAGTAATTTTTGTGGCTGTCTTTTTAGTATCTATATCTGTTCTTTAATTTTATTTTTCTAATTAATTCCAAGGCTAGGACTTCAGAACAATGTTAAGTAGTAGTGTGATTGTAGGCATTATTCCTACCACTGACGTTACAAGCAGTGCTCCTAGCTTTTCACCAGTTCTAGTGAATTTGTTTAACTAAATTGGAAATGGAAATTAAATGTCATTTTAAACTTTTCAAAATACATATAGATTCTTATATAGTTTTTCTCATTTGAGTTAAATTAAATTAGTAAGTTTCCTGGTATTTGATAAACCATGTATTCCTGGAATGAACTATTTCATTGTTATCACATACTGTTTATATAGCTTTGCATTCTACTAGCTGCAATTTTAGATTTTGACATCAATTTTCATGTCTTGCCTGGATCTTTACAAGAGCAACTTACATTGCTCCTTTAAAAAATGTACTGTTGCTCCCCTCCAGTTTATTTACATTTTCCAACTTCTTCAGTTAGATGCTTAATTTACATGTTTGTGTTCTTTTAATGGCTGCCTATAGAAGCACCTTTATAAATTCAGAGTATTGTAATTCTTTTTCCGGTTGATTAGAACCAATTGTCCTCTAGATATATGTACAGTGTGTCAGTGAATAGGATTTATGTGCACAAAACACATCATCACTACATAAAACATTCCGAGTATCACATAACTGTGTAGCCATGACCCATCCTTCTCTTCCTGGTGTTTTGGTGCGGCCACCAAAATCTGATAGGTATGCCAGTTATTGGAGTAGGTGCAGTTATAGCAAGGCATGATACTGACTTACTTCATTGTATTTCCTTCTGCTTAATCTTCTCTAGACATGCTGTGCAACTTAACGTCACTGCCACCCGGCAGCTCTTGCTTATGGCTAGTCAGATGCCAAAGCTGGAAGCCTTTATACATATCTCTACTGCCTATTCAAATTGTAACCTGAAGCACATCGATGAAGTTATCTATCCGTGCCCTGTGGAGCCAAAAAAAATCATTGATTCCCTTGAGTAAGTTGGTCTAATAAAAGGATCAAGGGGCGGGTAGAATAAGTTCCTTTGTTCTCTTTGATTCTTTGTAGCTATTAATGAGATGATGAAGTCAAACACTTTTGAAGCAAAATGTTTTGAAACGGTGCTAGCCTTAGCTACCTTGTCCCTGCTAGTTCTGGTGGGGAATATACTGCTAAAAGAGAAGGGGGATAGAAAATTCTTAAACATTTTGTGGAATTGCGTAGGATTGCATGAGGTACTTGGGAATACTATACATAGAAGTTGTTTCTCACTTCTTAATGAACTTAGCATTGTCACTGGATAAAGCAAGTATAATGTATAGTATAAAAGTTCAGAAGAAAAATGTCTGATTCAGACTGACGTGAGTTTGGCATAGCTCCACCAGTAACTACCTGTGTGACTGAGCAAATTCCTTGCCCTCTCTGAGCCCCAAGTCCTTCATTTGTAAAATGGGCCCATTTTATAGTTGTGAGGTTGAAAAAAGTTATATAAAACACTTATTGCAGTGCTAGGGAGTGTTTAACAGCACTTAATCAAATAATTCATAAAAAAGAACTAGAGGCTGGGGGTGGTGGCTCACGCCTGTAATCCCAGCACTTTGGGAGGCTGAGGCGGGTGGATCACCTGAGTCCAAGAGTTCAAGACCAGCCTAAAATACAAAAATTAGCTGGATGTGGTGGCAGGCGCCTGTAATCCCAGGTACTTGGGAGGCTGAGGCAGGAGAATCACTTGAACCTGGGGAGAATCGCTTGAACCTGGGAGGCAGAGGTTGCAATGAGCCGAGATTGTGCCGTTGCACTCCAGCCTGGGCAACAAGAGTGAAACTCCGTCTCAAAAAAAAAAAAAAAAAAAAGAACTAATGAAGAATAAGAATTGCTCCAAGATCTGGCAGAAGGTGACAGTCTCTTGACTTATTTGGCTGAGACACACTTTCTTTACTGTCCTAGGATGCAAGAGAAATAATGTCTAGGATTTTTCTCTTCTTGCCAATGAGCAGAAACCACTTTCATCTTAAAACACAGCTCAGGTCTTAGAATAAGTTTGTTTTCTGCTTCTTTATTCTTCTGCTCCATTTTACTAAGTTTACCTTGTTTTTTTTTTTTGTAAAAAACTATATAAAAAGTATTATAGCAGAAAAATGGACTATTTCACAATGAATTTGTCACATTATAATTTTATATAATACTGTATTTATATTTAATATATACTCTTTAAAAAGTTTTAGCTAAATCAAGAGTTCATTACCTTCAGGGCAAACATTTTTATCTCCTCCAGCTCTGAGAATAGATATTTTTGTCTGTCATGTAAAAATATCCAGGACAAAGAAGAATGAAAGTCATCTAAAGGATCTGGAGGTTAAAGTTGCTAATAAATGGAGGTTTGCTAAATTGGTACAGAGAAAAATTTTAGAGTGCAGAGTTCATCAGGATAGTGGGAGAAAAAGCAGGTGTATTCTGAGGCCCAAAGTCTAGACAATAAAGTATGTTTAAAGCCTCAGAGCATTTTCAGGATGGAATTGGTTTCTGTCAGTTACCCTCTTATGGTGTTGTCTCTTGGTAAATGTGATGTTTTCATATTTGATATGTCCAGGAGAGGGGCAGACCCCTTTTGATTCCAGATTGTTTCCTGGGACTTTCTCCACTGCTGATCTCTCTAACACCTGACAGGTCATAGTGCAATTTGAGGTAGCAAAAGAGCCTGAGAGTTCATCAGAGAAAAGAAGTAAGAGGCCAGGTGTGTTGGCTTATGCCTGTAATCCCAGCACTTTGGGAGGCCGAGGTGGGTGGATCACCCGAGGTCAGGAGTTCGAGACCAGCCTGACCAACATGGTGAAACCCTGTCTCTACTAAATACAAAAAATTAGCTAGGTGTGGTGGCACATGCCTGTAATCTCAGCTACTTGGGAGGCTGAGGCAGTAGAATTGCTTGAATCCAGGAGGTGGAGGTTGCAGTGAGCTGAGATTGCACCATTGCACCCCAGCCTGGTCAACAAGAGCAAAACTTTGTCTCAAAAAAAAAAAAAAAAAAAAAAGAAAGAAAAAGAAAAGAAAAGAAGTAAGAGTTCACCCATAGTGAAGGGCTTCTCTAGGTACTCCATACCACTTCCTCCCAAACTATATCCAGACACTAAATACCCCTAGGTTTCAAAGAAGAATAAACTCACCTCCCAGAGGAAGAGCTGATTTATCTTCAGGCATTCAGCACTTTCCATCCTCCCTCAAGTATATGTCAACCAGACAAGGCAGGTAATTGCTACATGATTTATGAACAAACTGTAACTGACATTTGTACAAAATTTTTAACCTCCATCTGTCATTTACTGCTCTCCAAGGATAACAATTATTTAAGCAACTAATTAGAACTAGGAATGAAATTATTTTATCTCAACAGATAAATTCTGGGTGCAATTAAGGAACTAAGTTTTTTTAAAAAACAGGGAAAAGTCATACTTATTATTTGCTAATTCAGAATTAATTAGGACATCCAGGACCACCTATCCAGCCTCATCTCTCTCAGTCCTCCCCTTACTTTCATGCTGCAGTCACAAAGAAGTAAGGCCTTCCCTCCTCATACTCTGCCTGCCTTTGCACTCGAAACTCTGTTTGTCCCTAGAGCTTAGTTCCCCTTCTGCTTCACCTGGTTAATTCTTACTCAGATATCAAGGCTCCCCAGCGAAGCTCTCTGGCTTAGGCACCCTTCCCAAGTGCTCCCATAGTACCCAGTGTTCAGCTGTATTATTGCTTGTAACACAGGTCATTCTGAATGTCTGGTTGCTTATCTACATTCTACATTAGACAATGAGCTTCTCAACAGAAGAGAATATTTCTTGCTCCTCTTTGCATCTCCAGCTAGGGACTCAATGCTCACTGAATGAATGAAAAGCTTTTGGTGGCATAGACGATTATTGTTCATACTGTTTTGACTGTTTTTGTTTGTTTGTTTTGACTGAAGCAAGAATAGATGACAGAATTCTGTAACAAGCTGATATTTTGGGATGCAGAAGTCTTATGTATAAAATATCTATCCATATCCCCACATCTTACCCTTGTTTCTGGTTGTTCATTTTTTTCTTCTTAAACTTTGAATGAAACCTGTATGTTAACTTTTGAATAGCACTTTAAATAAAACCCAGCAACCCCTCACCAACTATACCATGATCTACGACTATTTCAACGACTCCTATACCAGATGGAATTTTTGGAAGTTTTAGAATAACAACATTAAAAATCATTCTGAATAAATATCAATTCACCTAAATCCAGGTTTAGTTTCTTTGTTTTAGGAAAATACTTTGTTTCTTTGAGTAATTCTCTATTTAGTAATTGGTCTGTGTTAAAATGGAATTATTTTCCAAGGTTTTTAGGTTTCTATTTCCCCTGGGAGTTTTCCTTTCTTTCAGTGCAACAGAGAAATGCCTGGGGGAAAGTTGTTGTTGTTGTTGTTGTTGTTGTTGTTAACAGTAACTTCAAGGGGTCTAGTGGCTGCCATTGCTCTTAGTAATTCAGCAGTTCTTATTTATTTATTTATAAGGAACCAGGCGTTAGACAACAAGATGATCTTGAAGCTGTACTCTTGGCATTATATTCTCAAGAAAATCACCATGACGACGTAAAATGAAACTTTATTTTTCCAGAAAATCAGTTGAATGGGAATTCCAGTTCTGGGAAATAAAGAAGGATATGCATTTTTGGCCCGGACCTTTCCTGTTTGCTTGGGCAGCAGTGGTACTGCTCAGTGTTGTTAATAATGGGACTGTGAACTTGAACCCCATGCTTACATCCTGGTCCCAACCTTTGCAGGCCTAAAGTCTCTGCTCATTCAGCTCCCCCCATTTTCTATCCATCCTGTATGCTGAGACTGTCAGGCCTGAGCTCCCTTTCTTTAGCCCCTATCTAAAAACTTTTAGCATTACCTTGGCCCTGAAATATTCCAGAAAGATGAAGTTAGTACAAAAACTTTAGCACATTAGCAGAAATATATTTTAAAAATAACTTAAATCAGGAGTTAATGCTTTTAATGAGTATGACAAGCCTGGCCGTTAATCAGTGTTTAGCGACTCATTTTCCTGGCTCTTATATCTGTAGTTGTCTTCTGCCCCTCATCCCAGCCACCGGTTCCCATTCTGACTCAGCTCTACCTTCATATTGCCAGCTTCTGCCTAGTTGGTATATTTACCTTTGGAAATTTATGTGCATAAATGGATCAGGGATTGCCAGTGAAATTCCAGTTTTCCAGAATAACAGCTTATGTAGAATGTTTATTTTTTAAAATGCACATAACTGACCAAGAAAGGCAGGGTTTTATGGTTGGTGCTTTCCTTATTTTTTAGGTCAAGGTAACTCCTCTTAGGGAAAGCAGTGTAGAAGAAAAGGGCTTTTGTGCCTGTATAAAAACCTGAAATAACTGGAAGCAGGTACTAGAAAAATGGAATCACAAATATTTATTGCTCTATTGAGCATATGTAAATAAATCTGAATTAAGAAGGGAAGGGAGGACATGAATCATTATTGAGCAATTACTGTGAGGAAGACACTTCCACAGACATTTAATTCCATAACGTAATATTGTAAGGTTGATATTATTATCACTGCTATACTAATCACGGAGCAAAAAGCTCAAAATGGCTAAGTAACTCCTTGAAAGTCTCTCAGACACAATTTTTATCCATGGCCACTTGATTCTGAAGCCCATGGTCTTTCCAGTCTACTCACGTACTTGGCAGTGGTAGAGATTAAAAGGTGCTTTCTCGCTGCGTGCAGTGGCTCAAGCCTGTAATCCCAGCACTTTGGGAGGCTGGGTTGGGCGGATTACGAGGTCAGATCGAGACCATCCTGGCTAACGCGGTGAAACCCCGTCTCTACTAAAAATACAAAAAATTAGCCGGGCGTGGTGGTGGGCGCCTGTACTCCCAGCTACTCGGGAGGCTGAGGCAGGAGAATGGCGTGAACCCGGGAGGCAGAGCTTGAAGTGAGCCGAGAGATTGTGCCACTGCCCTCCAGCCTGGGCGACAGAGCGAGACTCCATCTCAAAGGAAAAAAAAAAAAAAAAAAAAAAAAAAGGTGCTTTCTTAAGATATAGACTATGTTCCAAAGAGCTCGTATCCAAGACAAATAGAACACGGCAGAATTATACACGTGTGGTGGTGGGGAAACAGGTCATATTAAGTCTGGTGGAGTGGAGGGAGGCATATGAGAAGACTTGGAAGAGTGGATAGAGTGTGGATAGGTGAGATGTGCACACGTGCCTGGCAGGGCAGCTGGAGCTGGGAAACCCAGGCGTGTTTGGGACACAGCCAGTAGTCCATCTTGGCAGCGCATGTGTTACGTGTAGGGAAGAAGTTAGAGATCAAGCTGGAGGGGAGGATGGGCCATACTGTGGAGATTTTGCATACCATGCAGAGGAATTGTATTTAATTCTCTATGCAGTAGAGATCCATTGAAGGAGGGCCATGTGTGCGCATGCATTTTTGTGTGTAATTTGGGGTTGTTTGCTCATTTGTTTTCATCATGGAAAAATACTGATGAAAGTGGGCTTCAGGAATATTAATATAGCCAGGGGCCGGGGGAGGCAGTGGATTAGCATAGGGAGTAGACGGAGGAAGCGAGACCCATTACCAGAGAGGAGTAGTATGGAAGACTAGAATGAGGGTGAGGCAACAGGTATAAAAAACATCTCCATGTTTTGGGAAAGAAAAAAACAATAGGACATGGCTACTGCTTTGCATATGGGGTTGCACCTATCAAATTAACTCCAGATTAGAACATGCATACTTGTCATGTTTTGCATTTCTAGTACCAGGGATTTAATTCTTTTAAAATTCAATTCTGTTGAAATTTTACTCCATGAAGCAATGCGTTTTTGAGAGCTAATCCTGATATATTCAAATCTCAATGACTTAAGTTTATGGAGTGGACTTCTTTTAAATTAGTGATTCCCTGATTTGCCCGACTGTTGGAATTTCCAGGGCATGTTGAAAATACAGATTATCAGACTCTTAACTCTGCAGATGTATTTAGTGATTCTAAAATGGTACCCAGGAATCTGGATTTTTCCCAGGGGCCCTGTGTAATTCATATTTATGAGCAGGCAAGTTTGGGAAAGACTACCTTAAGGAGGTTTTTCACTGAGCAGTCTTCATTTGAAATGAGGATCATTTATCTTCTTTATCTCTATGCTCCCTCTTTCTCCTGCTCTCCTTGCCTCCTGTTGTCTTTCAGTTCTTAGAAGCTTTAATGGAAAGTTCCTAGTAGATCTGTACCTACTAAAAACCATGCTTCTGAGGCTACACAGTCACCAGAAGACACAGCTAAGCTGCCATGTGAAAAAGGAAAGGTGGCGTGTGCACTGAGGGTGCAGGTGTGAGAGGCAGGGGAATGGAGGCCCCCACAGCCAGCAGCAGTGGCCCTTATCACAGTCCTCTGGGAGATATGAAAGGAGGTCAGATGTTAGAAAGTAGTCTTTTTTGCCTTCGTGCTATAGAACACATTGTTAACACTAAAAAAGCTGACCTCTTCTAGGGGAACGGTGAAAGCTGATTCTAGCACTTGTGCTTTTAATTTCAGGATGGCACAGCTTCAAAATGACATCTATGTAGCTAAGTAAAAATGAGAATTCTGTGTACTTTGATATTAGCAGGCTTTAAATTACAAACCAGAATAAGATTAAATTGTTTCTTAACCAAACTGAGTAATTTTCAAATGGCAGGCCATTGGCAGGGTATTCAGCATCTGGCTCATGTTTGAGCCTGGCTAGGTGCTCCGTAAAAGTCTTGAGGGAAATACAGAGGCCAATTCTCCATAAGCATTAGGCTCAGAAATACCCTGCTTCCCACTGGAAAGTTTAAGTTGACCTTGAAGCCACCTTCACCAAAACGAGGTTGGTCAACACTTTTCACCATTGCCACTGGACACTTTACTTCCAATTTTGCTTCCTGCTCTAAAAGATAACCCCTTCCTTCCTTTCCCACATTCTCCCTACAACCTCGTCTTCTTTTGAGTTCATCCACTTTCTCTCATCATTGTCCATCTCTGCTTCCCAAAACCTTACATAGTATAGAAATTGGCCAATCAAGATTATCATGTGGAAGAACATGCATTTACTGAATAAGGCAGCTGGCTCCTGGGGGCAGAAAGGTGATTAGACACAGTGATAAAAATCATAATCCCTGATCTTCTGGACTCACTGTCTGTCCAGTGGGGAGACAGACACATAAGCAAATACAACTTGATAACTACAACAATCAAGAGAATGACATAATCTACCCTGGAGAAAGAGAGAGCAAACATTATCATAAGACAGTGTGTCCACTACTTACTCTCTAACAGATTTCCTGATAAACTACTAGGCTTGCCCACTTGTTGCATAAGAAAATTGAGGGTATCAGGGGAGGGGAAATACATATGCCTCTTGGTAATTCATTCAGTAAATACATAAATAAACCATTAATGATATAATCATGTTGATTCAATAAGTTTGAAACCAAAATTGATAATATTTAGAAGAAATTGTGTATGTGTGTATATGTGAACACACATAGACATATACATACTGCTTTCTGAAATTTTCAATGACTTTATGCTTCTTCTGAAGCAATTCAAGTTTAGAATTTGAGACCCATGGGTTCAAAACATCTTCTTGAGTATACTGGAGGACATTTAGATTAATTTCAGACATGTATTTTGGTTTATATGTGTTTTTTATCTATGCTAACTTATTTACTGTTTTAAAAACAAATTGAGAACAAACAGCAGCAGCAACCCTGAATTGAGTGTTTAAGTCCTAAGAATGGCTTGGCCCAACCAGTGGATGTGCATGTTTATTACACTAATCTCCTCTGAACCTAGGAAGTGGCTGGATGAGCTTCAGATGGTCTGTTTGGCTGTATTATAAGTGATATTTTATTTTTATTTGTTTTATTTGTTTATTTTTATTTTTATTTATTTTATTTTTTTGAGACAGGGTCTCTGTCACCCAAGCTGGAGTATGGTGGCACAATTATGGCTCATTGGAGCCTCCAACTCCCAAGCTCAAGCAATCCTCCTGCCTCAGCCTCCTGAGTAGCTGGAACTGCAGGTGCACACCACCATGCCCCATTAATTTTTTTACATTTTTTTTGTAGAGGCAGGGTGTTATTATGTTGCCCAGGCTGGTCTCAAACTCCTGGACTCAAACGATCCTCCTTCCTCAGCCTCCCAAAGTGCTGAGATTACAGGTTTGAGTCACCGCACTTGGCCAGAAATGACACTTTAAAACTAACTATTACCTACAAAGATGCATGCTCACTGGTTGTTTTATTAAAAAATAACAATGCCTTAGGTTTATTGGCTCATTTTGTTTTATCAAAGAGCTTAAATGCAGTTGTGAATATTCCTGTTTACCCTTATGATAATTTAGAATGAGTATAATTATTGCCATTTTCACAAGTACAATTGGAACTAGGTAATTTATATTCCTGTTTACTCTTATGAGAATTTAGAATCAGTATAATTATTGCCATTTTCACAAGTACAATTGGAATGAAAAGATAAAACAGTGGAATACAGGTGTAGCTGAGAGTAGCAGAGGCAAGTCATCTATAGAATATTAAAATTTCTTGCATGCGTGCTGTCAGAAATCTACGAAACCAAAATTTTCTAAGACAAGCAAACTCACCAAGCTTTATAAGGCCCCTATCCCCCCAAATATTATCCTTTCCATGTACCCCAACATTAATGACAGCAACTGGTACTAGCCATGTGACATACAATCCCTGCACATTATTGGGCTCTGATGTTTCCTAGGTTTTTTTTTTTTTACAGCTTTATTGAAATTAAGCTTTATTCCCTCAAGACCTGGTTTTCATAAACTATATATTTTTGCAGGTGAGAGAAAATGGTCTCAGGTCAGTCAATCCACTGTTGACCCACCAAATGAAATGAGATAGTGGTAGGACTGTTAAGATGGAGAGGTGTCTGCATCATCCTATATTCTTTCCCAGCCCCCAGGTGACCATATAATTAAAATATCCTAGATATTTCTATGTAGTTGAAGTTGTTTTTAATTCTAGAACCCCTCAATCTTTCTCTATTCAATTCAAATAAAAAGACATTTGAGTATCCAGAACACACTCAGCACTAATAGAAGCAAAGCAAGAAAAGTGGAAACATTATAGTCGATGCCCATGTTCTACCTCAGGATCAAATGAGGCATTAAAATTGAAAGTTGTGATTCTGAATAAGTCTTAACATCATGCACATCTTAGCTGCTCAAAAATTTGTCATGTCAGCAAAGTGGTAACAGTGAAGATTTTCTACAATCAAAATAGTATAGTTCTGTTCTGTTCTATAAAATAGAAATAAATATACCACATTGATTAGAAAAATCACACTAGCATATTTCGGCAGCTTAATTTTTAAAAAGCTATGTTATATCAATGATTTAACCACATAGATCTGTCAGCTAGAAGAATGTTAAATATATAATTGACAATACTTTTGTTGCTTTCTTAGAGAGGTGTAGATAGACTTTGGGGTTATCAAGTGGTTCTGACATATTTTTAAGAAAGATTAGGCTGATGCTATGGTAACTTGGTTATTCATGATACATTATCTTGTAAGTAGGAGTAGTCAATAATCGTGATTTTGAAGCTATTTCAGAGCACTATAATCACCCCACTTGACAGACTTCAGAATTCACTGGAAATCTCTGGAGATAATTTTCAAGTTATTAGCATAGACTCTAAACAGACCTTCAAAATGCATTACATAGGTTTGCTAAAACAGACTGTAAGTGCCAAAAGTAGTCACTTTGATTTGATTTGCATTGAGTGGAATTTTTAAAATTTAAAGCTAAAGGCTTCAGGATTACTGCACTGGATTTTTATCGGACAACACTGAGTAGGGCTGCCACTGAAGCACCTTGGATGACAGCCTCTAACTCCCTGAACACAGCATGCAGCACACTACTGGGAGAATGACTGGGACTCAAATATGTGTTCAATGAGTGTACTTATGAGCTTGCTAGAGAGGAAGTAAAGTAATAATAATCTCTAATATAGTACTAAAGTTCTAATTTAGTACTACTACAATAAAGTAGTAATCAGTACTGATAAAGTAGCAGTAGTGCTAAAGTAATACTAATAAAGTAGTACTAATAGTCCTATGCTATCATTCGTAATAAAGTAGTATTGCTATTGATTCTATCGGTCTATCTACCTACCTGCCTGCCTACCTACCTACCTACCTACCTATCTGTTTGGATGGGAGGGCATAGGATAAGATTGGGCTTAGCAGTGAAGAGCAAAAAGCTCATGCATGCTTTGAGCAGGTACACACTCAAACTTGGTATCATGTGACTGTTCTGAATTCCAGAACCGAGGCTAAAAGGTGGAAGTTTTGTTTGATTGTGTCTCACATTTTCCTTTTGGTTTATTGTCTAACATATGTTACTAGAATTCTCTTTACTCTACCTTTTAGGTGGTTAGACGATGCTATTATTGACGAGATTACACCCAAGCTGATCAGAGATTGGCCCAATATTTATACCTACACCAAGGCCTTGGGAGAAATGGTGGTGCAGCAAGAGAGCAGGAACCTGAACATTGCCATCATAAGGCCCTCCATTGTGGGAGCAACTTGGCAGGAGCCTTTCCCAGTAAGCCCACTTACCTGGATTCTGTGTTTTGCTTCCAAACTAAGGTTCTTCTAGTCCAATTACTTTCTGATGTCTTTCTTCTTCTCCTCCTCAGGATTTATAGCTAAGTGCAGCCAATCGAATATGAACCCATTATACTAGGGCAAAATTCCACTTTGGGTTCAGGATTTACCCAGCATGTGGCTCCTCTGGCAGTTATCTTGACTGCCCTAGAGTTGGACGGAGAGCTTAAATTAGCTTCTAACTACTCTAGTCTCAAAATTCACATGGGTGATGGTTTCATATCTTGGCTTTCCTACTATAGTTTAAGCATACCAGAATGTCCTTGATGGCCAAATTGGTAGTATTACAACTGCCAGGGTAAACAAGAGTTTCAAAGCTCACAGAAGGATCTCAGTTTAGGAATACTAATTTTTTTTAAACCTCAGTATACTGTCATGACCTTTTGAAAGTACTTTGAATTATACCATCTTCTTGAAAGCAAGTCTGTGAAGCTTTGGGGTAGATAAATTCCAGCTCCACTACTTACTGGTAATGCAACATTTTTGAGTTGTCCCTTCCATAAAACAGGACAGATACTATGGAGAGTTGATTTGATGAGACAATGTATGAGGAGTGGTCCCTACTAAAAGGCTCAACAAATATTAATCCCTTCATCTTCTCCTCTCTTCTCTCTCCTCTCCTGTTATACTCACACATTTGACTTTTATACTGTAACGTAAAGAGACATAATAAGGTCAGCTGAATGGCTTAGGTCTTAAGAAACAAACTTAAAAACACATTTCCCTCTAGCTGCTCTTAAATATAATCTCTGTAACATCTTTAAGTAAGTCAATATACACACAGACACACAGACACACACACACACACACACACACACACACATATATATATATATGTATATATATCTGGCATGGACTCTATAGCTGGTAAAAAATGTTAAGAAATGGGCCATTAACACAAATCATGTTTTCAATGTTCTCCTAAGGAGGCTGAAATCAGGACTAAGGTGGAGAAGTATGGTTGGTGAATTGCTTAGCAGATCATGATATAAGGACAAGGTCCAATTTAGTCCATAAGAGGTCATAAAACACCACAAAACCATTCATGATTCCTGCTAAGAAAAACAATCCTGGCAAAATTCTAATTTTTGCACAGTCAAATAAAGTACAGAAAATGGCCAATGCTTTGCCATTATCTTTTGAGATCTTAATAATACTGAATTAGATAGTTCTATTGGCTGGGATCTCAGTGCTCTTGTTTGAAATTTATTAAGATTAGACTGCAGATGTTCCAAAGATAAAACAATTTTCTGAAATGTGTAACCAATAGAAATCTTCTTTCTTTTAGGGTTGGGTTGATAATATAAATGGACCTAATGGAATCATTATTGCGGTATGTATAATGATGAAGAAATAACTCCCTGAAATGTAGTAGAGAAATAGTAACAAAATTCTTAGTGCTGGCTTAGCTTCATTGATCCAAAAACATAAATGTTACTTTACTAATAACTGAGGCATATTATTTTAATTGTTCTGATTGTAATATACAGGCAGGATGAAATTATTCTTTGAGAATTTTTTATCAGAAAAACAGAGGTAATGTGCTATCAGTTACTATTTAGGAGTTTTATTTTTGAAGTCTTTGAGCATCAAGGACTTTTCTTTAGTTACCACAAGATGGGGGTATTTCCTCCTTTTTGCAGTTTATAATCTCATGAATTAGTGCAGTGAATTGAGGATGCAGTAAAAATATCTTCAAAGATTATTAAATTCTTGATTATAAAACACATGTAAGAGTTTATGTGCGTGTGTAGAAAAGAGATATACATCAATAATTTTTAATGAATACAAGAAAGAGAACTACCAATTGGAGCAAATTTTTCAAATACAAAAATCCATGAATATAGGCAACATCTTTTCAATAATATCTTACCAGGAGAAACGTGGCTCCTCTAGGTAAGCAGCCCTTAGTGCGCATCTGCCCGAAGTCCAGATTGATCCAGCCAAGCTGTGGGGCTTCACAGCTCACACTGAAGCATTTAGGGTCTAAACCCCACTTCATTCTTCTGTACAATGAATAGGAAATCAGTGATCTAAATGAGTTTAAATTTTATTAGGGATTTAGACTGCGATTCAGACTCTGACTCTGTTCCTCCCAGAACTAGGTTCAACATGAATTGCAATACAGATATGAGACAGTGAATTATAACAGTGACAAAGATCTTCCTTCCGATTTCTGATTTTTCTAGCAGCCCCTTTCTTTCTGCTTCCCACCTGCCTTCAACTCTTTCTTCTACAAAAGTTCAGTTGGGGTGAACGTTTAGTGACTTAGAACATCATTATTTTAACGTGATCCCAAAACGGCTTTCATTACATGCAAAGCTACATATTTATTTACATTTTCTAAAATGTTCTAAATTGGTTTCTTATGTCCAAAAGAAGGGGAGCTAGTTATAAGAAAACAGAACTGAGTAACATAAGAAAGTGCTAATCGTTGCAAATCAATGTTGGAAACATGCAAAGCACAAAGAATCAATTTCATAAACTCAACCAATTATTAACATGAATAATTCCTAATTCTTGCATCTATATAACATCAGTGATCTGTGAGGTGAACTAAGATACTGAATAAAAAGTAAATAATAAGGCAATTTTTCCAAGCCAAAAAAAAAGTTTTCTTTTATTAATGGTGGAATTTCACCAATTAATGTTTTTCAAATAAGTATTTCTTAAACTTTTAGTGCCTACTATTGCTTGTAAGTTAATAAACCCTAGCAGAAAACAAAATCATCAAGGAAATGGTAAACAAATATTAATGGGAAAATTAATGGGAAATTTGTATAACCTTAATTCTTAACATGTCTTATGAATTAATTTTTAAGATGTAAAAGTTTATTCTTGGTGTTTGTTAATTGAGTTTATTAACCTCTCACAAATTTGAGGAATTTTATTCCCTAAAGGAACGTGAGGAACACTAGTAGTTCATGAAAATGCTGGAGACGCATGCACTTGGCTGGGAAGGTAGGATAGGCTGAGGAAGTCAGACTTAGCATAAGAACCTGGTAAGCAGTGGATCAATGTTAGCTGTTTTCACTTATTGCACTAGTATAACCAGTTTGATGATACATACTTTAGCCCCAGCTATTATTTAAGACCTGGTTTAATATTTTATGTTCTTTTTCCTATGCAGACTGGGAAAGGGTTTCTTCGGGCCATAAAAGCTACTCCAATGGCTGTGGCAGACGTAATTCCAGTTGATACAGTCGTCAATCTCATGCTAGCTGTAGGATGGTATACTGCAGTTCACAGGTGTGGATGCTCAAGTGGGCTTTCAAAGACTTCATGAGGGGCAGAGTGAATATATTAGGCCCATTTTCCAAATATAGGCATTTCATTGTACAAGACCCCAAATGTGTGAAAGTGCGTATTTCAATATTTTATAGAGTTCCTAATATGCCATCATATATGCATTGAGTTGTTTTATAAATACAGTTTAGTACTTGGCTACTCATAAAGTAATAAAACCTTTAAATCACTTAACCATAAAATTCTTGATAACCAAAAGGCTTTTCTTTCTATTCAGTAGTCTAAAATTCAGCTTTCTCTTTTAGGGCAAAGGAGATAGAAGCTGATGAAATGACAGAATTTTTTTTTAATTGAACTCTGGTAAATGCCAAAAGTTCAGTCACGATGTGTGGGGAAGCTTCCTGGTACAAAGGAAAAAAAATAGGTTGTTCATATATTTGGGTCTGTTAGTAAATTAAATTTTTCTTATGTGAACTCACATATATGTACTCCATAATATGTCACTCCTATTTAACATCTCTTTCACACACACACACACACACACACACACATGCTTTTCCTAGTCTTCTTCCATTTTGCTTATTAACCCAGAGAAAGAATGAACGATGGAAGCCTTTCATAGGTTGCCTTAATCAGATGAATTACTGAAACCACTCTGTCTAAATATTATTTTTCCTTATTTTTCTCTCATTAGTTTTCTATTTTGTTGTACTTATCTAATTTTTATTTCATTTTCCAGACCTAAGTCAACATTAGTCTACCACATTACATCTGGTAACATGAATCCCTGCAATTGGCACAAAATGGGTAAGTACTTTAGCTATGTAACTCTATAATTACTAGTGTCTGGCACAGAGAAAAAGTTGACAAAGTGTGTCATGGAGCTTAGAGCTTATATGGGGAGAAAGACAAAAAGTAAGTAAAGAGACAAAATAATGAGAAATTGTAAATGTGTGATAGTTAACTAGAATGTACTGTGGTTACCAAAGAAAGGAGTCAGTGGCAACATGTACAAGATTGTAAGCAGTAAGGGGTCCATTGGCTATAGCGATTTTAAAAATGATGAAACAAAGCAAAAGTTGGCAGTTATAAAGAATGTCAGTGATAAAATACTGAAATACTCCTCCCTGTTGGAGCAATGGCTCCTACACACACCCCTTCCCTTCTTGATATGTCACTGAGAATGCGACATCATCAATGACCAATGAGATAGAAAAGTTAGGTGATATTAATCCTTTGTTATTGAGTCCATCATACTGATCATTAATTTATGCAGCTTGCCTCTCAGGTGTGCAATAACCACTCCACTAGCGATTTGTAAAAGTGAATAGGAAGCACTATGGGAGAAATAAAAACAACACCCAGATTCCTTGAACCCTGGGACCAAGGTCTTGGGTGGTGCTGAGGAAACTATATGTTTAATAAGCATCTAGATGATTCTTGATGCTTGGTGAAACAGAGAAACCCTGTACTATACAAATGATTGATCTGTCTGAATGTAAAGGATTGGATCTGTTCAATGTATAAAACCATGGAAATAGAGTTGAGTACAACTTAAACATCTAATGATGGTAGAAAGTTAAAGTAGGGAGTTTGGCTATTCTGTAGGATTTCTTACTACCTACTAATGCACACTTTCTTTCCCTGTTACATAGGTAACACTACCTCTACACATTCCAGTGGTAAGCCATGGTGCCACACTGAGAGTTCTATTGCAGGGCAGCTAGACACTGTGGCTCATTTTATAATAGGCTTTGAATTGAAAAATGCTTTTCCAAGAATGGAAAATACCTGGCATGCAGGTATTTTTCTCTCCTCCTCTTACACCTATAGCAAACATTGTTGGCTGATACAACATTGTTTCTTCCTGTGCCAAGGCTCTGTTCTAGATTCCCATCTAATATAGCATTTCTGGAAGATATTACTAATTAATCTGATGTTGCATTCAAATTAAATTAGTTTGTGTTTCCTACCAGGGTTAAGAGGGATCAAAATGCTTCCTACTAGGAGCAGTAGCCATGCCATAGGAGGTTGAACATACATAGCCTCAGGTGACATTACAAGGAGTGACAGACAGCTGGGTCGGTGAACATGGGATATCAGAATCTCTTATGCTATCAACCTGTGCATAACTTTTGGTTATGCACAGAACCAAATGTTTTAATAATGCCACATATGTTTTAATAAATGCCTATGAACCGGTGATTCTTGAGACTCTTCAAATTTTAAACTATCCTGCCATTTTTAGGATAAACCCAAGTTGGTCATAGCATATTATCTTTTTTATATTCTGTTTAATTCAGTTTGCTAATATTTCCCTTGTTGTTTTCTATTGTCTGAAAGTGTTTGTGTAATATTGGAGCAATCTATTCCTTGGAAACTTGGTAAAATTACCTATAAATTATCTGGATTTGTAATTTTGTTGTGAAAGGATTCTGTATTGCTTCAATAGTTAAAGAATTTTGCAGGCTTTCAGTTTCTACTGGAATCAGTTTTAGTAAATTATATTTGTCTCTTTTTCTAATAATTTGTTTTAAAATGTATTCACATAAAATTTTTCACATTACATCAATTTTTTTGTCCTAAACTGTATTTATAATTATGTTTCTCTTTTAATTCATAATAGTTGTGTGTCTTCTCCAAAGGGTTTATTATTTTTTTCAAAGAACCAACTTCTGGCTTTATTGATTCTTTATTATGTTGCTTCATTTTCTACTGCATTGATATATTGCCTTATCTCTATTTTCTCCTTCCTCCTGTTTTCTTTGATTATTTCTTTCTTCTCTTTAACTTAGAAATATAGCTCACGAATATTCGGCTTTTCTAATACATGCATTTATGGCTTTATATTTCGCTCAAATGCCACTTTGGCTGTATCCCACACATTTAGTTGTATGATGTTTATGTTATTACTCTCTAAGCATTAAGCATTTTTCATTTAAATTCTTCTTTGACCTATGAGGATGTAGAAGTGCAGTTTTCAATTGCCAAATTAAACTTTCTACATGTGCATGAATTTCTACTTGTCCTTCAGATCAGAAAGACAGTAGCTTAATGGTTAAAAGTCTTGGGCTTTAAGATCTAATAGACTTGGATTCAAATCTTAGCTCATTCATTCACTCCTGTATTCATTAAATAGGCATTATTCTTGGGCTATGGATACATCACTAAACAGAAATCCATGCCCACACAGATGTTATATGCTGGTATGGGTCCTACCATTTAGTAGACTCCACTACTTACTAGTTGTATCAACTTGAAAAAGTCACTCAGTTTCTCCCTGTAGATCTTTTTTTTTTTTTTTATCTGTCAATGAGAATAATAATTATTCTATTCCAGGGAGCTCTTGGGAGGATTTAATGAGATAAAGTGCTTAGCACAGTGATTAGAACGGTGAACATTTCAGTAAACGCTTGCTATTACCATTTGGACAGCTTTCTCAGAAAGCCTTTCCTAACCCAGCCTCACCCCTCCCCTTCCTGGCACCCAGACAGAGCTAGAGGCTTCTTTTGTCTTCCTCCAGAGCAGAATACTCTGCACTGATCTCTAGCAGAATACTCAGGCAAAATATTGCAATCATAAACTGTCCACACCTCCCACCAAATTGCCAATTCCTTAAAGACAGGG
This sequence comes from Homo sapiens, assembly GCF_000001405.40. Taxonomy (NCBI): domain Eukaryota; kingdom Metazoa; phylum Chordata; class Mammalia; order Primates; family Hominidae; genus Homo; species Homo sapiens. The sequence goes on from NC_000012.12 coordinate 29,314,771, forward strand.
AATATATCATATATATTATTATTATTTTTTTACCTCAGCACCTACCACAATGCCTAGCAAGTGTTAAATGCTAAATAAATGTATTTGTAATGACTAAAAGAAGGATTGGTATGGATTTAGGAAATGGAAAGTAATTGTATGTTGCTGAGCTATTTATTCATTCATTTACTCAAAAAATATTTATTGGGCACTGATTACCTGCCAGCCACTTTCAAGGTACTATATAGGTTGAAACAAAACAGACAAAATTTTGTTATGGTACTTAAATCTTAAAAAGGAGAAATATACATCAGATATGGTTGAGAGACTGCAAAAAAATAAAACAGACTAAAGAAGTAAATAGTGATGTGGGAAGGCTGCTATTTTATATGTGATGGCCAAGGAAAGTCTCCCTGATAAGGTGTCATCTTAGCAGAGACCTGAAAGAAGTGAGGGGGCAAATCAGAGGGACATGTGGAGGAGATATTCCAAGTTGAAGAAACAATAAGTGCTACAGCTCTTTAATCATATTCAAGGACAGCAAGGAGGCCAGTATGGCTGCAGCAGAAGCACTGAGGGGGAGGATGGTAGGAGATAAAGTCAGAGTGGTGGGCAGAGAGAGTGAGGATGCAGAGTGTGCAAAGCCTTCCAGACCATGGCTTTGCCTCCAAATGAGATGAGATTCCACTGAAGGGCTCTGAATGGAGAAGTATCTGTAATATATTCTGAGTTACATTTTACAAGAATCACTCCGGCTGCCACATGGAGGTCAGACTGTAGGAGTACAAGGGTAGTGGCAGAGACCATTTAGGACAGTACTGCAACACTCCAGGCTACAGTAGTGGTTTGGATCAGAGACACAGAAGGTGGAAATTATGATTCTGGGTATTTTTCAAACAGAAGGCTGATAGATTTTGTTGAATTGTGTGTGGGTTGTTAAAGAGAAGAATCAAGGATGACCCCAAAGTTTTTGGCTGAACTACTAAAAAAACTGAATTACCATTTGGTTAGAGGTAGAAGATTAGTGAAGAAGCAAGTTTGTGTATGCATTGGGAAGGGGGTGGTTGGTAGTGGGAGTATCAGGAGGCCAATTTTAGAGCTGTTAAATGTGAATGTCTATTACACATCCAGATGGAAATGTTGAACAGGTATATGGATATATACATCAGAATGTCAGTGTTGAGATCAGAATCTCTTACGCTATCAGAACCAAATGTTTTAATAATGCCACAAATGTTTCAATAAATGCCTATGAACCAGGTGATTCTTGAGACTCTTCTTTGTATAGGATTTATATTTTCAGACAGATTTTAGCTGGTATTTTTTTAAGGAGGGCAATAATCATATTACCATAATAAGTGATATCATCATAATTGAATAATGAGCTTAGGCATATGCTTTGAAAAAAAACCTACATACATTAAATAAAATTGAATTCAAATGAATATCTTTTGGAAACAACTACTGAATTCACAAATGTACATAAAAAGTTCTTAAGCTTAATCTAAGTAATAATATAAAAAGAAAAATACTATTATGAATAAAACTCTGGATACCAGAGTGGACAATTGAGTCTAACATATTCCCAGAGAAGTATTTGAAGTAGACTAACACAAAGAAATCTTGCCTTGAGAATCTTTACAATCTTTTACTTAAACCTTTAATAAAGATTCAAATAAAATGTTAAGAAACTTTCTAAATGGTTCTGAAAGTAATGGTCCAGCCAGGGAAATAAGGTCTCTCGCCTCTGTCTTGGGGCTTTCAGAATAGACTGGATGACCTTAGAATTAAAGGCAGATTCATGTTTTTCTGAACAGTACCTCCTTGTATTGACAAGTGTTTCCCCAATAGTTTGTTTTACAGTAAATGCTTCAACTAAAGAATCCAATTATTAACCCATTCACACTGTTTCAGTTTGCAGATAACCATTTGCCCAGCACAAAAATCTTTATATTGTTCTCAGAAATTGATTCTTGACTCTACACAGCAAATCCTTCGTCTTTATTGTTTTGACCCATTACAAATGCTTTCCACTATGATGGACTTATATTCTCCTTTTCTCCTCTAGCACTTACTTTCTTTTTTCCCCAGGAGTCCAAGTCTTGGCAACCTTTGAAAAAATCCCATTTGAGAGACCTTTCAGGAGGCCAAATGCTAATTTTACCAGCAACAGCTTCACATCACAGTACTGGAATGCGGTCAGCCACCGGGCCCCTGCCATTATCTATGACTGCTATCTGCGGCTCACTGGAAGGAAGCCCAGGTGAGAAGCTGAGTCAATGGCTTTGAGAGTGTCACTGCATGGGAGATTAAGGCCCCAAAATCTTTAGTGCTTCCTTCAGCCGAGGATTAAAGGAGACAACTGAATCTTACCCATATATACAGATTGAACACACCTAATCTGAAAATCCAAAATCTGAAATTCTCCAAAATCCAAAACGTTTTGAGTGCTGACATGATGCCACAAGTGGAAAATTCCACATACCTTACCTCATGTGATGGGTCACAGTCAAAAGACATTCAAAACTGTTTCATACATAAAATTATTTAAAATATTATGTAAGATTACCTTCAGGCTCTGTGTATATGGCTAAGTGTGTATGAAACAGAAATGAATTTTGTGTTTAGACATGGGTCCCATCCCCAAGATAGCTCATTACATATATGCAAATATTCCAAAATCTGAAAACAATCAAAACCCAAAACACTTCTGGCCCAAGTATTTCACATAAAGGATACTCGACCTGTATAAGTTTTGAACAAAGCAGTCATAGTGAGAAGCCACAAAAGACATTAAAAATGTTCCAGCACAATAAAGGAAGGTAAATGTTAAAGAGGTTGATGAATTCAGCAAGTAATCATTCATGCGAAAAGAAAAGCAATTGAGACTCTGTCACTAGGGTTTTCTGAATAGGTAGATAATCTTAAATATACAATAATGATGACAACCTCACTTACTGAGAGTTTACTGTGGCACTCGTGGGGCTAAGGCTGATGCATGATGATCCCATTTTCATTGTCACAGCTACCCAAGGAAGATGTCCTCATCATCCCAATTTTACAAATGGGGAAATAGAAGCTAAGGAAAGAATCTGAATTAGTCTCAAAGGAAGTGACAGGAAGGATGTGGAGAAAGCCGAGTCTCAAAGTCAGTATTCGGAACCAGATTTACTGCCACCTAGAGATGAGTGAAGAAATTAGAGGGAACACAGTGTGCTGATGCTAAGGCAGCTGTCACCACCTAGCTGTGTGACACAGGACATACGCCTTTATCTGTCTCGCTTGAATAATATTATGTGTCAGAGGAGTCATTGTTATAATTGCCTAAGGCAATTCTCGTGATCAAGAATCAGAAGTATGAACAGTATTGCCTTCTGTGCTAGCCCCTTTATAAGGGAGGAAGTCTTCTTCAGCGTGTTTGTCATCTTTATTAGCAGTGCAAATGACTAAAACTTAGCCAATGTAGAGTTTATCTAAATTTTTAAAGACCTCATTTGGAGCTCATAACTCAGTTCTTGAGCAAGGTGAAAAGGAAACATTGTGATTATGGGGAAAATATTTGTATGGGGCTTATTAAATAAAGACAGGAAAAGAAGAAAACCCAAATATTGTAGGCAGAAATGCTAAAGGTTTTAAAATATATCAGGATTGGAAGAGGGCCTGCATAAAGAACAAAGTTCAGTTAGGAAAAAAGAGAAACACAGAAGGAAGAGACACAATAAAAATCTATATGTATCTTGTGAGAAGTCAAACAGTAATATTTGTGGGAAATGGGTTGGTTTGTTGTGTGGTATGTATTTTAGCAATAATCTTTATGGCAGAAAAAGCTGAAATCCTTCTAGACCCTTTCCTGCTCCAGGTGTGCTTGTGTATACTCTCCTATGCTTTTACATCCATATATGGACGTACATAGTTTGCTTTGCAGTAGGGGGGTATGTGTGTATATAAATCAATTGTACATATTTTACAACTTTTTCCACTAATTTTCCATGAAAATCTAAGTCATTCTGCCCGGTGTTGTCTTTTTTTTCTACTGCAAATAGGGCAATGAATATCAGTGTGCATGCCTCTTTGTAGAATGTGCCTGTGTCAGGAGAGGATGCTGAGGAGGGAGACTGCTGGATTGAAGAGTATGTGGAGTTTGTGACTAGTGCCAGGTGACCCTCCCTAAGGAAGAGACTGTCAATTGGCACTACCACAACAGTGTATGAAGGGTACAAAAGTCTTTTTTTTTTCTTTTTCTTTTTTCTTTTTTTTTTGAGATGGAGTCTTGCTTTGTCACCTAGGCTAGAGTGCAGTGGCGAGATCTCAGCGCACTGCAACCTCTGCCTCCTGGGTTCAAGCGATTCTCCTGCCTCAGCCTCTCGAGTAGCTGGGATTACAGGCGCCCGCCACTGTGCCTGGCTAATTTTTGTATTTTTAGCAGAGATGGGGTTTCACGATCTTGACCAGGCTGGTCTCGAACTCCTGACCTCAAGCAAGTCACCCGCCTCGGCCTCCCAAAGTGCTGGGATTACAGGCATGAGCCACCGCGCCCGGCCAAGGGGTACAAAACAGTATGTCTTACCCTCTTAATGGGGGTAAGAATACTTTGTAAAAATCAACTTCTGAATTGTCAAACTCATAAGGAATGACATCTTTTTGTTTTTTTGATTTGCATTCATGATTGCTGGAGGGGCTGGACTTTCATTCATTTATTGGACATTTAAGTTTTCCCCTCTGTGTGCTGCCTGCTTCTGCTCCCTATTTTCCTATTGGGTTGTCCTTATTAATGTATGGGAACATGTGTGTGTGAATACATATTTCATATATTTTCTCCAGGTCTGTTTCTTTTTAGCTTTGACTATAAAGCTTTTTGTAATATGAGTGAAGATACATATAATGCAGGGCTTAGGAACATGGAGTTTGGAGTCAGGCTTATAGGATTTAAATCCTGGCTTCACCAATTTAGCCATTAGAGCCCTAAATTACTTCATCTCTCTAAATCCTAACTTCCTATTCTGTAAAATGGGCACAGTAATCGTAACCTATTTTATATAGTTTAATATGAGTGCTTAGAATATAATAATCCCTATTAATACTAAAGATGTTTAAAATTTTTATGTGGTAAAATGAATCAATCATTGTTTTCCTTCAGCTTTTGCATTTTGGGTATTAAGAAGACCTTCTTGGCTGGGTGTGGTGGCTCACACCTGTAACCCCAGCAATTTTGGAGGCTGAGGAAGGAGTATCACTTAAGCCCAGGACTTCAAGACCAGACTAGGCAACATAGTGAGACCCCATCACTACAAAAATAAAATTTAAAAACGTTGTCCAGGCATGGTGGCATGTGCCTGTAGTCCCAGCTACTCAGGAGTCTGAGGCAGAAGATTGCTTGAACCCAGGAGGTCAAGGCTGCAGTGAGTCATGATTGAGCCACTGCACTACAGCCTGGGCAATAAAGCGAGACCCTGTCTCAGACAAACAATAAAGACCTTCTCTATCTGGGAGTAATACAAGTATATTTTCTAAAACATATCATTAGGTTGATATAGTTCTGTACATCCAATGATATCATGTCCAACCGTTATTTTTAACAATTAAAATAAATGTATTGAAATCATATCAATTGCATCAGAGTTGGAGAATGACTAAAGATTTAGATAATAGTAAAGTGGAACCCTATTATGGTGCTTATATCAGGCACAATGATGTCTACCTCATGCCTAAGAAATTTCCTATGATACAGTAAGAGAAATACCTCATGAGTCATTAAGTACATGGGCATTAACTTTGACCAGAAGTAAGACCAAATCCCCACAATAGCATCATAATTACTGAGCCAACTATAGTAATCACTACTGCCAAGACTGGTTAACTACAAATCAAGTGCTTTACAGGCCAAAAGTGACTTGTAGCTAAAAGACCTAGGTTGGGGATTAGCTATGGGACCTTGAGCATAATCTCTCTGTAAAATGGAGATACATAATATACATCCTGACTATCTTACAGCCATATTGTTAGGATCAAGTAAGATTGTATATGAAAGTTTTTTGTAAATTGTTATAAAGTTGGGAGGTGCACAAAGAAGATCTGGTCCAAGTCCTGACCACAAGATTGGACAGTGTGGTTCATCTTGTGTAATGGGACACAGGGTAGTGAGATTACACAGCGCAGGTTTTTTGAGGTCAGTTAAAACTGGGTTGGAATTTGACTTTGACACTTTTTATCTTAAGCTTATGTTACTCATTTGTAAAACTGCAGACTTACCTAACAAAGATGATATCAAAATTAGCAGAGAGAATACTTTGTGAAAGTATCAGGACTGTGCCTAACACAGAATAGGTTATCAACAAGAAGTTTTTTTTTTTTTTAATCTCCACTATGATTGACAACTGCTTTTGATTCAACAAACACTAATACAGTCAACACTTCTGCCCAAAAGTTACATACTAAGACCTCAGATCCTATCAACTTCTTAAAATACAAGAAAGTACAATAAAAATGAGAAATAAGGCCAGGTGCAGTGGCTCATGCCTGCAATCCCAACACTTTGGGAGGCCAAGGCAGCTGGCTCCCTTGAGCCCAGGAGTTCAAGACCAGCCTGGGCAACATGGCAAAACCCTATCTACAAAATATACAAAAAATTAGCTGGGCCCCACTGCGCTCCAGCCTGGGTGACAGAGTAAGACCCTGTCTCAAAAAGAAAGATGAGAAAGTTTTCTAATTGTCTACATCAGAATTCAAAAAATGAACAGTATGTCATTCAAGCTGAATAGTTGGCTCACTTTTAAAATAGGTTTGCTATTCTTGAGAAATAGGTGTTAGAAAAGGAGTCTGGTATTAAATGCCTAACAGAACAAGCTCCTTTAGATCCAGCCCTTTTCTTTTTCTGTTGAATGAATAGAGAGTTAATGTGGAAGGAGAAAAAAGAAGAAGAATTTTAATGAGGAGTGGTAGACAGGGATAATTTTTGTATTTTCTTAAAAATAATTTCTCATACATCCCTGTAGAGTGACAGGGAAGTGGTGCGCTGATATTTACTCCTATCTGATGGTTATCTCAGGATGACAAAGCTCATGAATCGGCTTTTAAGAACTGTTTCCATGTTGGAGTATTTCATCAACCGGAGTTGGGAATGGAGCACGTACAATACAGAAATGCTGATGTCTGAGCTGAGTCCTGAAGACCAGAGAGTAAGTAGAGCACTGACTTAAGCACCAGGAAAATGCTACTCACTTGGAATTTAGAATTATTTGATTTGGAAAGCTGATGAATGAATAAGACGTTTGGTTATAGACACAGATTTTGTTTTGCTTTGTTTTTCTAAGAAAATCAGTCAATGCTATCAACACCACCGTAGGAAACAAGTTTAATGTAAGTAAGAAATGTAGGTTCTTGGACTTTGGTTAAATCTTTAACTGCTGATCTGCCAACATGTTTTATCTACTGCACTTCAATCGTTTTGTCACTCCTTGATAGTTATCATTTCTACAAACCCTCAGTACCTCTGGGTGGCTGTGTTCTTCCCTTATCTGCCACAGCATATGACTTCAATGAAAAATAATGATTTTATTGCTTATAAACTCAATCATCCACTATTCTTGTCCAATCAAAATTGTTCTGCCTCTCCCAGCTACAGTTCCTTCCTTACCTTGTTAAAGCTAATCCCTACACCTATGCACTCTGCCTCACCTCAGACCTCCCTTCATCAGTGCTGCATCGTCGATCTCCCTCTCTATAGGATTTCTCTACAACAGTTCAGACTTTCATTTCTCAAGACAGGTCTTCAGTTTAATTCCTTAGCACCAGCACCACTTATTTCTTTAACTTCTTGGCAGTCACAAAGGATAAGTCCTAAAATCTTTGCATATTCTGAAATTCTTTTGTATATTATACATGTTCCTAGCCTTTTTCTCAGTCATGTATCCCGTTTTTAACTAAATTTTAAGGTTTTCACTCCATATTGATTGACATTTCCCACTAAGAAACAATTTTCTAAAATGTATCTTTTGTTTTATTTTGTACCTGACAGCATGTAGAAGAAACCAAGTCACACTGGGGAGTAAATATCAGATGGCTGTATTTTCCAGGTGTCATCTGTCACCCCTTTCTTTGACTAGGAAAGGGAATTCCCTGACCCCTTGCACTTCCTGGGTGAGGCGACGCCTTGCCCTGCTTCGGCTCACGCACGGTGCACTTCACCCACTGTCCTGCACCCACTGTCCGGCACTCCCCAGTGAGATGAACCCGGTACCTCAGTTGGAAATGCAGAAATCACCCGTCTTCTGCGTCGCTCACGCTGGTAGCTGTAGACTGGAGCTGTTCCTATTCGCTCTTCCAACGGGCTTAACAAATGGCACACCATGTGCGGGAGCACATGGCTTGGAGGGTCCTATGCCCATGGAGCCTCACTCATTGCTAGCACAGCAGTCTGAGATCAAACTGCAAGGCAGCAGTGAGGCTGGGGGAGGCACGCCCGCCATTGCTCAGGCCTGAGTAGGTAAACAAAGCGGCCTGGAAGCTCAAACTGGGTGGAGCCCACCACAGATCAAGGAGGCCCGCCTGCCTCTGTAGGCTCCACCTCTGGGGGCAGGGCACAGACAAACAAAAGACAGCAATAACCTCTGCAGTCTTAAATGTCCCTGTCTGACAGCTTTGAAGAGAGTAGTGGTTCCTCCAGCACGCAGCTTGAGATCTGAGAATGGGCAGACTGCCTCCTCAAGTGGGTCCCTGACCCCCAAGTAGCCTAACTGGGAGGCACCCCCCAGTAGGGGCGGACTGACACATCACACGGCCAGGTACTCCTCTGAGACAAAACTTCCAGAGGAATGATCAGGCAGCAGAATTTACGGTTCACCAATATCCGCTGTTCTGCAGCCACCGCTGCTGATACCCAGGCAAACAGGGTCTGGAGTGGACCTCCAGTAAACTCCAACAGACCTGCAGCTGAGGGTCCTGACTGTTAGAAGGAAAACTAACAAACAGAAAGGACATCCACACCAAAAACCCATCTGTATGTCACCATCATCAAAGACCAAAGGTAGATAAAACCACAAAGATGGGGAAAAAACAGAGTAGAAAAACCGGAAACGCTAAAAATCAGAGTGCCTCTCTTCCTCCAAAGGAACGCAGCTCCTCACCGGCAACGGAACAAAGCTGGACAGAGAATGACTTTGACGAGTTGAGAGAGGAAGGCTTCAGAAGATCAAATTACTCTGAGCTAAAGGAGGAAGTTCGAACCAATGGCAAAGAAGTTAAAAACTTTGAAAAAAAAATTAGACGAATGGATAACTAGAATACCCAATGCAGACAAGTCCTTAAAGGAGCTGATGGAGCTGAAAGCCAAGGCTCGAGAACTACGTGACGAATGCACAAGCCTCAGTAACCGATGCGATCAACTGGAAGAAAGGGTGTCAGCGATGGAAGACGAAATGAATGAAATGAAGCGTGAAGAGAAGTTTAGAGAAAAAAGAATAAAAAGAAACGACCAAAGCCTCCAAGAAATATGGGACTATGTGAAAAGACCAAATCTACGTCTGATTGGTGTACCTGAAAGTGACGGGGAGAATGGAACCAAGATGGAAAACACTCTGCAGGGTATTATCCAGGAGAACTTCCCCAATCTAGCAAGGCAGGCCAACATTCAAATTCAGGAAATACAGAGAATGCCACAAAGATACTCCTCGAGAAGAGCAACTCCAAAACACATAATTGTCAGATTCACCAAAGTTGAAATGAAGGAAAAAAGTGTTAAGAGCAGCCAGAGAGAAAGGTCGGGTTACCCACAAAGGGAAGCCCATCAGACTAACAGATGATCTCTCGGCAGAAACTCTACAAGCCAGAAGAGAGTGGGGGCCGACATTCAACATTCTTAAAGAAAAGAATTTTCAACCCAGAATTTCATATCCAGCCAAACTAAGCTTCATAAGTGAAGGAGAAATAAAATACTTTACAGACAAGCAAATGCTGAGAGATTTTGTCACCACCAGGCCTGCCCTAAAAGAGCTCCTGAAGGAAGCACTAAACATGGAAAGGAACAACTGATACCAGCCACTGCAAAAACATGCCAAATTGTAAGGATCATCAAGGCTAGGAAGAAACTGCATCAACTAACGAGCAAAATAACCAGCTAACATCATGATGACAGGCTCAAATTCACACATAACAATACTAACCTTAAATGTAAATGGGCTAAATGCTCCAATTAAAAGGCACAGACTGGCAAATTGGATAAAGAGTCAAGAACCATCAGTGTGCTGTATTCAGGAAACCCATCTCATGTGCAGAGACACACATAGGCTCAAAATAAAGGGATGGAGGAAGATCTACCAAGCAAATGGAAAACAAAAAAAGGCAGGGGTTGCAATCCTAGTCTCTGATAAAACAGACTTTAAACCAACAAAGATCAAAAGAGACAAAGAAGGCCATTACATAATGGTAAAGGGATCAATTCAGCAAGAAGAGCTAACTATCCTAAATATATATGCACCCAATACAGGAGCACCCAGATTCATAAAGCAAGCCCTTAGTGACCTACAAAGAGACTTAGACTCCCATACAATAATAATGGGGGACTTTAACACCCCACTGTCAACATTAGACAGATCAATGACACAGAAAGTTAACAAGGATATCCAGGAATTGAACTCAGCTCTGCACCAAGCAGACCTAATAGACATCTACAGAACTCTCCACCCCAAATCAACAGAATATACATTATTTCCAGCACCACACCACACCTATTCCAAAATTGACCACATAGTTGGAAGTAAAACACTCCTCAGCAAATGTAAAAGAACAGAAATTATAATGAACTGTCTCTCAGACCATAGTGCAATCAAACTAGAACTCAGGATTAGGAAACTCACTCAAAACCACTCAACTACATGGGAACTGAACAACCTGCTCCTCAGTGACTACTGGGTACATAACGAAATGAAGGCAGAAATAAAGACATTCTTTGAAACCAACGAGAACAAAGACACAACATACCAGAATTTCTGGGACACATTCAAAGCAGTGTGTAGAGGGAAATTTATAGCACTAAATGCCCACAAGAGAAAGCAAGAAAGATCTAAAATTGACACCCTAACATCACAATTAAAAGAACTAGAGAAGCAAGAGCAAACACATTCAAAAGCTAGCAGAAGGCAAGAAACAACTAAGAGCAGAGCAGAACTGAAGGAAATAGAGACCCAAAAAAACCCTTCAAAAAATCAGTGAATCCAGGAGCTGGTTTTTTGAAAAGATCAACAAAATTGATAGACTGCTAGCAAGACTAATAAAGAAGAAAAGAGAGAAGAATCAAATAGACGCAATAAAAAATGACAAAGGGGATATCACCACCGATCCCACAGAAATACAAACTACCATCAGAGAATACTATAAACACCTCTATGCAAATAAACTAGAAAATCTAGAAGAAATGGATAAATTCCTCGACACATACACCCTCCCAAGACTAAACCAGGAAGAAGCTGAATCTCTGAATAGACCAATAACAGGCTCTGAAATTGAGGCAATAATTAATAGCTTACCAACCAAAAAAAGTCCAGGACCAGATGGATTCACAGCCGAATTCTACCAGAGTTACGAGGAGGACCTGGTACCATTCCTTCTGAAACTATTCCAATCAATAGAAAAAGAGGGAATCCTCCCTAACTCATTTTATGAGGCCAGCATCATCCTGATACCAAAGCCTGGCAGAGACACAACAAAAAAAGAGAATTTTAGACCAATATCCTTGATGAACATTGATGCAAAAATCCTCAATAAAATACTGGCAAACCAAATCCAGCAACACATCAAAAAGCTTATCCACCATGATCAAGTGGGCTTCATCCCTGGGATGCAAGGCTGGTTCAACATATGAAAATCAATAAACGTAATCCTGCATATAAACTGAACCAAAGACATAAACCACATGATTAGCTCAATAGACGGAGAAAAGGCCTTTGACAAAATTCAACAACACTTCATGCTAAAAACTCTCAATAAATTAGGTATTGATGGGACGTATCTCAAAATAATAAGAGCTATCTATGAAAAACCCACAGCCAATATCATACTGAATGGACAAAAACTGGAAGCATTCCCTTTGAAAACTGGCACAAGACAGGGATGCCCTCTCTCACCACTCCTATTCAACATAGTGTTGGAAGTTCTGGCCAGGGCAATCAGGCAGGAGAAGGAAATAAAGGGCATTCAATTAGGAAAAGAGGAAGTCAAATTGTCCCTGTTTGCAGATGACATGATTGTTTATCTAGAAAACCCCATCATCTCAGCCCAAAATCTCCTTAAGCTGATAAGCAACTTCAGCAAAGTCTCAGGATAAAAACTCAATGTGCAAAAATCACAAGTATACCTATACACCAATGACAGACAAATGGAGAGCCAAATCATGAGTAAACACCCATTCATAATTGCTACAAAGAGAATAAAATACCTAGGAATCCAACTTACAAGGGATATGAAGGACCTCTTCAAGGAAAACTACAAACCACTGCTCAATGAAATAAAAGAAGATACAAACAAATGGAAGAACATTCCATGCTCATGGGTAGGAAGAATCAATATCGTGAAAATGGCCATACTGCCCAAGGTAATTTATAGATTCAATGCCATCCCCATCAAGCTACCAAAGACTTTCTTCACAGAATTGGAAAAAACTACTTTAAAGTTCATATGGAACCAAAAAAGAGCCCGCATTGCCAAGTCAATCCTAAACCAAAAGAACAAAACTGGAGGCATCAGGCTACCTGACTTCAAACTATACTACAAGGCTACAGTAACCAAAACAGCATGGTACTGGCACCAAAACAGAGATAGAGACCAATGGAACAGAACAGAGCCCTCAGAAACAATGCTGCATATCTACAACTATCTGATCTTTGACAAACCTGACAAAAACAAGAAATGGGGAAAGGATTCCCTATTTAATAAATGGTGCTGGGAAAACTGGCTAGCCATATGGAGAAAGCTGAAACTGGATCCCTTCCTTACACCTTATACAAAAATCAATTCAAGATGGATTAAAGACTTACACGTTAGACCTAAAACCATAAAAACCCTAGAAGAAAACCTAGGCAATACCATTCAGGACACAGGCATGGGGAAGGACTTCATGTCTAAAACACCAAAAGCAATGGCAACAAAAGCCAAAATTGACAAATGGGATCTAATTAAACTAAAGAGCTTCTGCACAGCAAAAGAAACCACCATCAGAGTAAACAGGCAACCTACAGAATGGGAGAAAATTTTTGCAACCTACTCATCTGACAAAGGGCTAATATCCAGAATCTACAATGAACTCAAACAAATTTACAAGAAAAAAACAAACAACCCCATCAAAAAGTGGGCTAAGGATATGAACAGACACTTCTCAAAAGAAGACATTTATGCAGCCAAAAAACACATGAAAAAATGCTCATCATCACTGGCCATCAGAGAAATGCAAATCAAAACCACAATGAGATACCATCTCACACCAGTTAGAATGGCAATCATTAAAAAGTCAGGAAACAACAGATGCTGGAGAGGATGTGGAGAAATAGGAACACTTTTACACTGTTGGTGGGACTGTAAACTAGTTCAACCATTGTGGAAGTTGGTGTGGCGATTCCTCAGGGATCTAGAGCTAGAAATACCATTTGACCCAGCCATCCCATTACTGGGTATATACCCAAAGGATTATAAATCATGCTGCTATAAAGACATATGTTTATTGTGGCACTAGTCACAATGGCAAAGACTTGGAACCAACCCAAATGTCCAACAATGATGGACTGGATAAAGAAAATGTGGCACATATACACCATGGAATACTATGCAACCATAAAAAATGAGTTCATGTCCTTTGTAGGGACATGGATGAAGCTGGAAACCATCATTCTCAGCAAACTATCGCAAGGACAAAAAACCAAACACCGCATGTTCTCACTCATAGGTGGGAATTGAACAATGAGAACACATGGACACAGGAAGGGGAACATCACACACCGGGGCCTGTTGTGGAGTGGGGGGAGGGGGGAGGGATAGCATTAGGAGATATACGTAATGCTAAATGACGAGTTAATGCGTGCAGCACACCAACATGGCACATGTATACATATGTAACAAGCCTGCACGTTATGCACACGTATCCTAAAACTTAAAATATAATAATAATTAAAAAAAAGAAAAAAAAACAATATATCAGATGGCTAACTGACCTTGCTTGCCAGCTAAGGGTTTCACTTCTACATACCAAACTTACTGAGTGTGATTCAAATCCAAGCCCTAGAATTATTTCCTAAGCATTATCCATGTCAAATACAATAAATATTATATTAGGCACAAAAGGCAAGATTTAGAGGGATATTTTATCTGAAATCATTGCTCCCTCTCAAAGTGACATGAAATAGTTATTCAGAAATGTTTACATATCACATATAGACAAAATTCTTCAAACTAGTGTTTGAAATGATGATTAAGCCAGTTTATAAATCAAAAACAAATCAACAAATTCAAGCTATTGTAAGTTCTTTTAAAATTTAGCTTTAAACTCTATGTAGGCTTATCCTTATGTATTTTCTCCATGGAATTTTCCTGCCGAAATAACTCAAAAGGTAATGAGCTTGGTTTCATTTCTGACATTTTACTATTTTAACCTTTCAAAATTTTATGAAAAAGAATCAAAGCTTCAGTGGATTTAACATATGCTCTCAAAAATATCTTAGCAAAAGTAATAGTACTAAATGTAATTACCAAATTCTGGTGTGGCTCAAAATTCAGTTTGAATTGCCATATGGAATCAGGATTCTGAACAGGGCCACTTTGAAATCAAACTTAGAAATGTTAAACACTATAAAAATAAAAGCCTCTGCTTATATGAATGACTAAGCAATATTAATGATACTATGAAAACCATATCCAATCAAAGTGATAATGGAATTTCTTTCAAAAAGCAATTCAGCTTTTGGACAAGTCTTTGAAGCTCTCTGGAACAATCGCATCTGCTCTCTTTATTAATACTCCAAATCTCACAAAGGTTTGAGGTATCTTGCAAAAAAATACATATAATGAAAGAACAAAATAGAAATAAAATAAAATGCAAAACCAAGGAAAATATGAATCAGAATATGAAGTCACAGCTAAAAATTTAAAAAGAGAATGCCCATACATAATCTACAAGATCCTACTAAGTTGCTGTAGTTAATTTAAGCAGTGAATTTGTTCTTGAGCTTTCTGGTAGTAAAGTGAAAAGGAAAATATAGTTTCATAGGACTCGTTGTTCAAAAGGAAGAATGAATTAGAAAAAGTTATCTAAAGCAAATACATTTATGACTTTTTTTTTTTTTTTTTTGAGACCATGTCTTGCTCTGTTGCCCAGGCTGGAGTGCAGTGGCAAGATCTTGGCTCACTGCAACCTCCGCCTCCCGGGTTCAAGCGCGTCTCCTGTCTCAACCTCCCAAGTAGCTGCGACTACAGGCGCATGCCACGACGCCTGGCTAATTTTTGTATTTTTAGTACAGACGGGGTATCACGATATTGGTCAGGCGGGTCTTGAACTCCTGACCTCAGGTGATCTGCCCGCCTCGACCTCCCAAAGTGTTGAGATTACAGGCATGAGCCACCACGCCTGGCCCATTTATGATTTTTAAAAAGTTATTTCTTGTCATGTTTCTCCATGCAAGTTGAGAGGATAAAGCAAAAGCAATATGCACAATGAATCAGCAAAGGGCTCATTATTAAATGTTTACTGAATGCCTAGAATGTTAAATAGGGATAATAATATTTAGTTACTTTCCTCCGAGTTCTAAGATGGTTTTCTGTGATTAAAATATAACATTTAATTTGCATATAAAGGAGAAAGAATCGAGTAGCCTTAGAGAACTACTAAATCTTTAAGATGTCAAATTCAATTACATTCTTTAGAAGTGTAATATTTCCTGAAGAGAAAAAGAGCTAAATATAGACTCTGGAGGAAAGATGCAATTTATGAATTAAACCCAAGAGATTCTCAGAAAATCGTGTAGCCATTTTAAAGTTAACAAACTTGACCTTTAGTGGTGATTGGCTTTTTGGTTTTGATAATATATGCCTTTTATTTGGTACCATCTAAGCCTCGATCAAAGACTGATTGTCTGAAAAAAGGAAACTAAGAGTTTACTTTGGTCATATTCATGTAAAGCTTATATACAGACTAAATAGAATAAATTGTTGTGTAACAAAAAAGAAACACTTTTGGTGTTCAAAATTAATATTTAAATTAATTTGACCTAAATTCTATAATTCATTAATAGCAAGTATTTATTGAATGTCTACTTTGTGCCATTCAAAGGAACATCATTCTTGTTGTTCTAGGAATATCATTTATTTGAATTAAGCCATTTTAGCTATTAAAGTCCTTCCTAGTGAGGCCTCACCAGAAGTTAAGTAAGTTAAGAGTAACGAGCAACTTTCTTTCACTGTACGTGAAACTCTCCACTAAAGATAGGCTTTTTTTTTTTTTTAATGTCCAGGGATGAATAGACAAAAAGTGATCTGAGAGTGCTGTATGTCCAAGGAGAGAGAAGAGTGCCCAATTGGAAGGACAAAAGCACCTTAAACACACCCTCCACTTGCTAAGATTTATAAATATTAGACTTTTTAAATGCTAGCACAAGTCCATTTTCCAGGCCATTCTCTCCAAATACATGAAATAAAACTCTATTGAACCAAATCCACTCACTGATGCAATCTTTTATTTGATAACAGGGTCATACCAAACTCTCCAAGAATACCTAATACTTGAAATATTTCCAGAGATGATACCAGAATCTTCTTGACACTCTTTCTACTAACAAGTTTTAGTGCCCTAAGTTCTTTATATTCAATCAAAACTATTTTTTCTAATATATTTGAAGATCATTTCCCTCCCTTTCTTTCTCCAATTAGGCCCTTTATATGGAGATTTTGAAAAGATCCCTGGATGGCTCAAGAATGACCTATCAGGTTTCTCTTCCTAACTCATCCTATCTCCATTTGTAATCCATATAAATCTGGGCCACCTCCTGATCCTGTGTCAGCTCAGCATCATTTTCAAAGTACACAAAAAATAAAATCTATGGAATGCAATTCAAATCTTTACTCCAGCTTTTCCATAACAAACCAAAAAAAGAATACATTTTTGGTTATGCAAGTGTTTTTCTTTTCTCTTCCTCAAAGATACCTTAAAAATTTTTTAATCATTTTTCTTTATTGTCACTCTCTGTATCTGTCTTCTATGTGGCACAACTTCTCTCCCTAAACAGATCAATCTCTTCCTTCTCCTTCTTCCCTACTCCTCCCCCATGTTGTGATCACTCCTTTTTTCTTTCACTACCAATCACTCTCTTCTTAAATATAAATTCTGGTAACTTATTCCTTAAGGCTTTGCTTCCCAAAGTTTAATCTGCATAATGAAATGGTAATGCTGTAGGAAAGGATGGTAGAACAAAGGGATAACACCAAAATTTAAGAGGAAAGGGAAAGTTGCATCATTTATGTTTTGGTCACTAACATATTATTCTATCACTTTTAAAAATAATTACTCCTCGGTTAGCTGAAATATATACCAAGCCAACCATAAGTTTTCACCAGACTATGTAATACTATTTCCTTTAAATCTCCCTCACAAGAAATGTGAAGTGTTTGTGTTTGATCCATGTTTAAATATTCCTATGTAAATAGTAATCCATATTATCAGTACCTTTGAAATAATGACTCAAATAATCTCTCCTTTGGAGAGGGTCCAACCTATGTCTCCCAAATTGAAGGTCACTCGTCTATGTAGAAGAAACCTCAAGTGGACAAAGTGACTGTCCAGCACTGCAATTCTGGCAATCTATAATCTCTCTTGCCTCTCAGGTATTCAACTTTGACGTGCGCCAGTTGAACTGGTTGGAATACATTGAAAATTATGTTTTGGGAGTTAAAAAATACTTATTGAAAGAGGATATGGCTGGGATCCCAAAAGCAAAGCAACGCTTAAAAAGGTAAGTATAATCAGTCAGTTAATATTTATTGAGCACCTACTGTGCATCGACTTTATACCAGACATAACATTTGTGCAGAGGAGAATGAACATTTCTTGAGCATTTACTACATTACAGGTCCTGCACTCCATACTCTACCCTGTAACACAGTTTCATTTAGACTTCACCACACCTCTATGAGGCAAGTATTACTTTTGTTACCCCATTTTTATGAGGCAGATATCTAGATTTAAACACAGCAAATAACTTGCCCATGGTAATTGCATAGTAAGTCTAAGAGCCAGATTTGAACCCAAATTTGTTTCTTCTACCACACTCTGTCATAATGGGATATAAATACCCAACAGGCAGGAGACCTGATTATGCTATTTAACCTAGAAAAAAGTCACTCCTCAATTTTTTCAACTTTCTTAAATTTCTTTCAGTCGTAATCCCTGAGGGACAAGGAATTCTAGCACTCTGGTATAATCCTGGTAGAAGCAGAGGATCTGTAGTGCAGAGATGATAAGGATAAAAAAGTAGCTTGCAAAACAGGAAGGAGGAACCTTGAATAGCAAGCCAAGAACTTTAGAATTTACCTTCTAATGAACAAGAACCAGTGAAGATTTATGATGTGGTAACATGACCAAAGTATATTTACAAGATTATGCTAGTCATGCTTGTAAATAGTTTCAAGTGGAGAGAGGTATAAGAGAAATTAGGGAAATATGGTAGAAATCTGACTATTCAGCAAGAATGCTGTGGAAATGAAAGACGCAGAAACCAATTGGCCAAGTTATATCAAATACTCTGAGCACTTCATAAATACTTGCCAGTCATATCCAGGAAAACACATATTTATCTTCAGATAATGTGGTTGGGTATCTGGTAGTTTTAACTTTGGTTATGTCTGTCTGTTCCCTAGGCTCCGAAATATTCACTACCTCTTTAATACTGCCCTCTTCCTTATCGCCTGGCGCCTTCTCATTGCAAGATCTCAGATGGCTCGGAATGTCTGGTTCTTCATTGTAAGCTTCTGTTATAAATTCCTCTCCTACTTTAGAGCATCCAGCACGCTCAAAGTTTAAGAGCATTTAGCCATCGCTTTTTATCTGGAACCTCTCAGATACCTCTAAAACAGCAAACTGTGATTCTCAAGATTAGAAAGTAACAAGGAATATGCCCAAACTGTCAAATGTCACCTGTTATGTATTCGTCCCTATTCCTTAACTATGTATTTTTATTTCAGTGAGAGAAGGAAAGTTGTAAACTAGCCCATAGTCACCTATATTTTAGGGAAAAAAATCCAAATTGTTTCCTAACATTCTATTTTATGCCCTTGCGTATTAAACGTGAAAGTACTCCCACTTTTCTATATTTAGTTTTTCTTTTCTCTCTGAGATGATTCATTTAAACTCAGTAAATATGGAAAGATGCATGGCAGAAGCTGAAATGAGCTCAAGCAGTACTAACCTTGGAACCATTCTGGGTACCCAAAAGAAAAATTTAAAATCAAGATGAGTAAAAGGAGAATGGTCTCAATATCCTCAAAAATGCAGTAAGAGAAGTAATTCCCCACTGAAAATGTCTCTCTTTCTTTCTATGTTATACCCTGGAGTCCTGGTTGAGGGGTGGGGGAATCAGAAAAGTAGGTTTACATTTAACATTTTTCTTAACTACATTCACTTCTTAAAAAGGAACAAGAAGTGTAAATAAGTATGTATAGAGTGAGGGATTAAGCATATTTGCATTGGGGACTCGTGTATTATGCTTTTAAGTCAAAATTAATATTCTCAAATTCGAATTTGATAGCTATTATTTCTAAATCTTTTTAATCCTCAATTTTCCTGGTAACCTTCTTTCAAGAGTCTCCTTCTTCTAAAAGTTGCCAAACCCTTTATATTTAAGCTTTTTCCACTCAGGACTCAATTAGAGTGGTCAACAGGGAGAGGGATGGTCCCATTTGATCTTTGCCACTGAGCAAAACAAAACTTCAAATGAACTTTTAAACTGTAGCTTTAGTCTTCTGGTATAAAGTGGGGAAGATTACACTTATGTGATCACCAAAGGATTTACTAGTATCTTGGTCATTCCAATTGCACAATGTTAACTGTACAACACACAGCAGAAAAGTGAATAGACTTCACTAAGGGATTCTAAGTTTAGAAAATAGGTTTTGTTTTCTTAAAAAATTTTGTGTATAATACAAACTAATGAAAACTATACATATTCTCCAATTCCTATAGTAATAATAATGTAACTGTTACACCAACTTTCCTCATATTTGAGAGATGAGTACATGTTGGATTGCAGCATTTCTTCATGTTAAAAACATGGAATATTATTCAAATATAGTACTTGGGGCCTAAACAACTAAAATTAGTCACCGCATAACTAGTTGAAAATGGCATAGGCATAAAATGTTAATAAAGAATGGCAGTTATATTTATGCTCACTTCCTGGAGTAATTGGGTAATATTCAGAAAGGCACATCGTGGTAGTTTAAGTGTACAAGGCCTTAGGGCAGTATCTAGCCCAGTATTATTCCAGATTCTCCTGAGCTCTATATAAAGGGCATTTTGGAGGAACTCTTCTGGGCAATATCTTTCCCAATCTCATCTAAATTCTGGGAAATATTTTCCATAGCAGACAACCCAGCTCTGAAACTAAGCACCTGGTGATCTTTAGTTTGAGATGTCTATATGGTACTTTTGAGTTATATCAATTAAGATACAAGCTATAGACATGATAAAAATATGAAATCAAGATATAGCTCAGTGGGATTGGATTAAGACATAATAATAGTTCTAAGAATTCACTTTTGATTGTATGTTTTACCAATTCAATAATTCCACTAATCAAGTATTCACATTTTGACTTTTGATTAAATAAAAATTTGAATTAAAATTATTCCCCTCTTCTAGTGTTGTCTTTAACCGTTGACTACCGCAGCACTTCTCCCTCCTTTACACCCCCTGCACCCCACCCCCCAAGCCCCCAGAAAAAGGAAATAACTTCCAAAGAACTCTTTCCACCAAATCACATCACAGGAATAACTATCAGATGAATATAAATTAACCTTTAGCTACATAATGCTTCACTTTTTCTAACACCATTAATACGGCTATTTTGACATGAGTAGTCTTCTATTTGTGGCATCAGATAAATGACACAAAGTTCTCTTGTGATGATTAGGCAGTAAAAACAGGTATCTGTATGAAGGGAAATCTCTAGCATATAACTATTTCACATCAAGACCAATTAGCAATTACTTGAATGCCTAATATAAACAAAGCAATGGGAAAGAACCTTCTACTTAGGGGAAAAGAAGATGGAAAGTACAAAGAAAAGGTACCTATGTTTCAAAAGTTTTGGCAATCCCTATATTCTCTACCCACAAGATACCTGATACAGTATCAAGTATTACAGAGTTGAAGAGTCACGGCCTGAGGCAACTAATACTAGAAAAAGTTAAGGCAAATGGGCACACAATTCAGAAAAACACTTCTTGCGATTTTCAACTAACATCATTACTTCCATTTAACACCTCATGTAATTAACTTAGTATCTCAAGGTAGAGACTGGTCTAATAATGCCCAAAGAGCATGTTATCTTACAATAAACATAAACAATTAAAGTAGATCAGCCTAGTTTCCAAAAACATCAATAATTTTCAAAGTTTACAAGAATCACTTGTAAATTTCCACATGGCTACTCTTCTAGAACTGCTATTCTAATAATGTCTGGGAACATAAGCAACTGCCTATAGTAAGAAGTAATGATTCTCATATGCCCACATAAAGGTATGGAAAAATGCTCACTGCCTAGATCGCTTAATTTTTTTTTTTTTTTGTAATTAACTAAGACTAGTAATTGCTGGTTTTCAGATGTAACTGGTTTGAGAGACAGTAGTACCGTGCAAAACGGAGATACTACTGTGGCAAAGGATGCTTGAGTTTAAATAGCCAGAAACACCTTTACCGATACACAAATATTTTAGATGTGTCCCTACTTTATTTGAAATACTGATTCCAACCTGGAACTGCAAAAGGGATAGGAGATGTGATTGATACGGCAATTTGGGTCAAGTAAATGTAAGTACAGTGTAAGAAATCACCAAATTGATTTACATAACTGCTTGAAAACAAAATACAAAGCATTTATTAGTTATGAGCTGTTGTTGAAGGTCTGCTTTAGTATATAGCTTTCACTAATGTATACTTTTCCTCATGCCTTCTCATCCTTAAGTTTCTCCTTATTAAAATAGTATAAAATGAGTTATATTTGGAAAAGTTAACCTAACTCCTTTTGTGAAACACAAAATATTTGGAGTTGCCAAAACTATTTGAATGTTTCACTGCTTGTAATCTTGTTTGTATTCAACTGTTAACATATATATATATATACATATAATTTTGAGTCAACTACTCAATTTTCACTTTTTCATCTTTAATATGAGAAATATAAAATAAACCCTGTATCATATAGCAATTTAGCTCCATCTGGAAGAAAAGCAAATGTAACCATGTGATATCTTAAAATTCCTGTAGCTTTCCTATGAGAAAAAAGTTTAAATATGGGAACTGAGGCTTATTTGGGGGTACATGATTTTAATTTTCTCCTAGTATTAAAAAGACAAAAAAAGTTTCATAATTTGTCATTTATTGAGTCCAAATGTTTATGCTTGCAATACTAAATATTTTGTTTTTTCTCTCAAGACAAAAAAAAAATCCAAGGCAGTCTGTTTTCTCCTCTTAAATGTAAAGTGATTTCATCAGTAATATTTCAGAAAGTAGAAAAAAACTATGCTTTGATTGCATCATCACAATATGGGGGGGATACATGGATCTTGATCCGGGCATTTTACCATAAGGTAGTAAACAACTGGTGACCTCTCTATTTTGATTGTGTTGAAAAAGGGCTACCACCTTGGCTTGCTGAAGGTTTGCTAGAGCTCAAAACAGGAAAAGTACTAGCTTAAAAGGCATGCTGAGATTTTAAAGGTCCTAAAGCTCAGGTTTAAGTAACTTTTAAACAATCAAAAATAGGCATTTTGAATTCAAGTGTAAGCTCTGAATTTTCAAGGAGTTTCATATTAAATTACTTTTTGGTACTTGAATTACTAACTCAGGACATAGATGGAATGCACAGTGTATCTCTCTTACACTATTAAAAAATTAGATCTGTCCAGGGGCAGTGGCTCATGCCTGTAATCCCAACACTTTGGGAGGCCAAGGTGGGCGGATCATGAGGTCAGGAGATTGAGACCATCCTGGCTAACACAGTGAAACCCCGTCTCTACTAAAAATATAAAAAAATTAGCTGGGCTTGGTGGTACGCACCTGTAGTCCCAGCTACTCAACAGGCTGAGGCAGGAGAATCACTTGAACCCGGGAGACGGAGGTTGCAGTGAGCTGAGATTGCACCACTGCACTCCAGCCTAGGCGACAGAGCGAGACTCAGTTTCAAAAAAAAAAAAAAAAAAATTAGAACTTAGTCATTCCTTCATGAATTCCAAAATTAAGATTGTATTAAAGACTGTAAATCTTGTTTGCATTAGTAAATTTTTAATTATAAAAATTCAATGCTATCATAAAACATACATGAGAAAAGTGTGATATTAATCATCTAACTTGAGAACTAGAAGTAATTTGGGTGCCAGGTGCAGTGGCTCGTGCCTATAATTCCAGCAATGCAGGAGACTAAGGTGGGAGGATTACTTGAGTCCGGGAGTTGGAGTCCAGCTTGAACAACACAGCAAGATACTAACTATATAAATGAAAAAGAATTAGCCAGGTTTGTTGGTGCATGGCTGTAGTCCTACCTACTCAGCAGATGGAAGCAGGAGGATTGCTTGAACCCAGGAGTTCGAGGATGCAGTGAGTTACAATCATGCCACTGCACTTCAGCCTGGGCAACAGTGCGAGACCCCATCTCTTAAAAAAAAAAAGAGAAAGGGAATTTTGCAATACTAAGTTAAGCTTTTCCTAAGAGGTAGTCTGAAGTGTACAAATACTGCAGCAGGGAATTATTCACCTAAATATTTAATCTTCTTTATAGGTCAATGTATGCAAACACAGTATTTAAAAATCCATTTCATATAATTTGAGATCTCATTTTTAAATATGTAGTCTGGAATATAAACATATAGATATTATGAATACTCTTGTAAAACAAAAAGGAGAATTGGGTAACAAAGTAGGGTATCCTGGCTGGAGGCACCTCCAGGCATAGGGAAAGTTGCATAACAGGTAGGTGAGTAAAGTGCTCTCTGCAATAGAAAAGAATCACTTGGTGAGGCCAAAAACTCCTAACAAATCCTAATATGCAGGTAAACTTCATCGTCCAAAGGGCTGATCGGAATTTTAATACTTCCATTGCCAAAAATCTGACTCTATTTGAGGAGTTTCAGATGGAAGCCTTTAACTTTTAAAATGGAAATCAAAGGCAAAGCAGAATTTTGCTTTAAAGAAATTCCTTTCATAGGAGATAAATTTCATTAAAATTTTAATATGGTATTTGGAAAATACGAAAACAATTAAAAATCATATATAAGTATCAAAATAATTTTTAAAGTCCTTTTTAAAGGCACTTAACTGTTCTAATCCTAAATGAAAGAAAATAATCCTAAATCAATATTGTTCTCCCTCCCATTTAGAAAAAGCCTTGAAACTCGATTGAATTTTCTTCCAAGCATACTTAAAGGACCAACAATCAGTCTACAATTCTAATCCTTTCCTATTAAAATTCCTGTGGATAGATGGTGTTAGTTTATAGCCAAACTTTGTTGGAAATAATTTGAAGAAAAAAAATTAAAACCTAGAGAAGGCTCATTCACGATTCAGAATTTTCTGTTTAAAAATCTTTCAAAGTATGTTATATCACTTATTTTCATCAGTTAACGTCATGGCTCTTAATGATATATTTTTTAAAGTGATGCTTCTGTTATTTTCTGCAAAACGTCATTCTGCATAAACTTTACTGCAAAACAGACCCATCACTATTTCTCCTTCTCTCCATTATATTGTTTATCCTGTTTTCATAAATTTATCTTTAAAAAAATCCATTTGAAAAACTGTTACTTGTGATATCCTGTTTTCTAAAACCACTATTTTAAATCTAGTTTTTCAGTCTTGTTATTTACCTGGAATTTTGTTTCCCCATTTCCTTAAATGATTTAAACTTTGAGGATTGGCTGCTGATTCTTCTACTGCCATTCAGTACTACAAAAGGAAAACTGATATTGGTACACATATTCCAAATACAGCTTTTAATAGTACCTGTGTGATAGCTCCCTCTCACTGTTTTTAATCTTTTATAATGTGAAGATTTAGAACCAATCCTTAAATAGTAAGAAAGTTAGAACACAATCTAATACAGAATCAATCATATTCAGGACACCCTGAATGCAAATACTTCATAATACAGTTTTATAGTTTAATGGACAATGTTTAACATGGCACCTCTCAAATCTGATATATCTTGTGGTGCTTACAATTTGCCTTACACTTTCATTTAAAGTTACCCTGTTCTCCACTCACCACATGTATAAAATATCCTATTTTTTCTCTTAATGTTTTACAAACCGGTAATTTTCACTATCAGTAGCGGATCTTTTTATAACTCACCCTATGTTGCCCAAAATACACCAATAATATAATGATTAGATTAAAAAACTTGGCATCTTTTTTAAAAAAATGTGCTTTCTTTTCCGTGTATAAGATTCTACTATACCATTTGTGAATGACACCCTAGTTACATAACACCTACATATCTGCCCCTGTGAGAATTTACCTTAGTCTTCTAAGACTCTATCTTCAACAGTTAGATAAGTCAATAACCAGAGTTCAAAGAAAAGTAGTTACTTTTTAAGACCAAATTATTGGATAACTGGTCTTGTCAATATGGCTTAACATTAATATGGCTATAACATAGGGACTAGCCCGTTTTTTTTTTTTATTAACAATGTGACCTGATCACAATTCTTTAAAGTCTAGACTAGTTTTCCGTATGTTTTCCACATTTTATTCTGACATCATATCTTTTAAAAACAAAAGGATGCGAACATTTGCACTTCTCAATGTTTTTTTTTTTCCCATAGATGTAGTTTCACTTATTTCCTTCAGGCTTTTTATCAGCAAGAAGCAATGTCTGATTTTGATACCACCCATTTGCTATGAAAATATAAGAAGGCGTCATCTTCAAAGCAACACTCCAGTTGGGCTTCTTCATCGTTTAGCTGCATGATTTCTTCTACGACATTTGTAACAGACACAACGTATATAGAATTTCAGTTTGGGTTTTTTTATCCTTTTTTTTCTTTTTTAAAATAAGTATGTTTTCTGCTTATTTGTGTTTTCTTTTCTTTGAATATATTGCACAATATTTTATTATTAAAAAAAGGTTTTATGTCTCAGGCAAAAAGTTTTTCTCCTTCAATCGGGAGGTGTTAATGTGTATTATTTTCTAAAAGAGGTAAGTGGTTGTCTGTGTGGCCATCCTCAAAAGGAACCTAAGGAGAAAAGGAGGGAAAAAAAGACCAAAGAATTAGTTTTATTCCTTATACTCTTTCCTCTAAACACAAGGTTTTATTTTGGGCAATCCTTTCTAGTAACCAAAAGCTACTATTTCTCTCTCTCTCTCCCCCTATTTCTCTATCTCTCTATCTCTATCTTTTTTGAGGCAGGGTCTGCTCTGTCACCCAGGCTGGAGTGCAGTGGTACGTACGATCATAGCTCACTACAACCTCAACTTCCTGGGCTCAAGTGATCCTCCCACTGTGCCCTCCCAAGTAGCTGGGACTACAGGCTTGCACCACCTTGCCTAGCTAATTTTTTCTATCTTTTGTAGAAATGGGGCTCTCACTATGTTGCCTTGACTGGTCTCAAACTCCTGGGCTCAAGCGATCCTCCCGCCTTAGCCTCCCAAAGTCTTGGGATTACAGGTGTGAGCCACCATGACTGGCTCATAGACTTAACAATGATTCTAAGATTTAGAGATCAGCACCATGTATACTACACCACTTACAGAATTGACAGGTTTATAGGATCCAAGTCTGAAACGACAGCAAATTATTTCAACTATAAATTTTCCAATTCCATGTAACATGCCTGTAATAAACAATAAGTTTATGCTTTTAATTATTTCCTAAACTGTTATTTAAGAATAAATAACTATAATGGAATAGATTACGGAAGAAAACAAAGCAGTTTGCATTATTCACTTCCATGGTTAAAAATAATCAAGAAAGATTTTAAAACAAATGGATTTCTTTTCAAAGTCACAAGGCCACATAATTCACGATCTCAGCACAATCTTTTTTTTTTTGAGACGTCTCACTCTGTTGCCCAGGCTGGAGTGCAGTGGTGCAATCTTGGCTCACTGCAACCTCCACCTCCCAGCTCAAGCAATTCTTGTGCTTCAGCCTCCCAATTAGCTGGGATTACAGGCATGTACCACCATGCCCGGCTAATTTTTTATATTTTCAGTAGAGACGGGGTTTAGCCATGTTGGCCAGGCTGATCTGGAACTTCTGGCCTCAAGTTGATCCGCCAGCCTTGGCCTCCCAAAGTGTTGGGATTATAGGCATGAGCCACTGCACCGGGCCTAAACACAATCTTTTCAAGGTTTTCCCACACCAATACAATTTTGGAAAATAAATGATGTCAACAACACAAATTTAAATAGATTGAAATGAAGCACTAACAAAGAATTTCGAAAGAAAAGCTATTCATTCATTTAAAAATATGATTCTAAGTATAATAAACTACCCAGCTCCATCTAATACTGAATAAGGACTGAAGATGAAAATAGAATTGTTTCCTTTTTCTCTATTGTACTTAACTCCCAATTTTCATCATTACAATTCGACAAATAATCTTAGCGAATTCCAGGATCTCAGGACAAAAATCATAAACATGTTACTGATTACAAATCTAGTTTCATGTATTGCATAATTCAAAGTACTATAACATATGATTTTACATACTGTACAGTTAAAAATGTCTTAAATGCCTTCTAGGCATTTTCATATTTAATCCTATAGCACACTTGCAAATTAGGTATTATTATTGCTATTTTTACTGATTAGAAAACCTCAGAAAAGGTAGGTGATCTATTCCAAGCTACCACCAAGTAAATGACAGAACTTACATTCAATTCTACTTCAATCTGATGTTAACACCCAGGATCTTTCCAACTCACCATTATATAATCTACCTTACATCATTGAATACAATGAAATTAGTTATGTTTACTGGTTAGTCAATATAATTTTGGAGTTTTGTAATTAAAGCAAAAGCTATTTAAACACCGAAACATGAAAATCTGTATACTTCTTGCCCCTTTGAGAAGAAGCAACTTAAGTATAAGCAACACTTTCAGAAATTAGACAAAAAGGAAATGGTTGTTAACCTGTTGTTGAAAAGATTCCTCCAACAATACCACAGAGTCTTACAAAAAACTGCCAGAATGGCATGTGCTCCTCAGTAACTGTCACCATAAGAGAACTGAGATCATATTTCATAAATATCCCAGAGACTCCATGGCTGCCTGCAGCATGGTTAATGATACGTTCCTAAAAGGGAGGCAAAAGGAAGGGGAGAAATAGGAGGAAGAGAGAAACAGAATTCATGTCATCTGGTTACTTACATACATTCAATATTAAGCCCTGAAGCCCTACTGTAAAAGAAGGACATCCACATTTCCTTATGAACTGTCCTACTAGACTAAGCTCTTCAGAGACAAATTATTTTGTATTCTTTGTGTGGTTAGCTTTTGAAACTATCAAAAGAGCAGAATCATTCTTTTTTTCTCAAAAAGGTCACCTTAGATACAAGTTTTCTACTGAGCTCAAGAGCTTACAAATATGTATGGCATGTTCCTCATGCTATAACTAAACTGCAAGCTTTAGGAATACAAATAATGAGGTTAACTACTACCAAGGGAAATTAAAACAGTTTTACGTAGGGCATTACAAAACTCTTTCCCTATTACTAGCACAATACAGCCTTATAAGCCAACTGATCAAGTTTCCAATAAAGTGACTACATCTTAAAGCTCTAAAATGCTCAATATCATGCTGAGTTATAAATATATTGTCACTACCTATAAGGGTAGAAACTGTTTTAGGGATCAGGGCATATACATAATGAAAGACTAATAATGATTCACTTTGGGTTCCAGGACTAATGAATGTCAGCCCTCTCCCTCCCACCCCCTATCCTGCATTTTACCAACCCCAGTTACTCCATTCTTTTTTAAGTTAAAAAACTATTTTAGTCACCCTATCAGTATAAACACATCCTTCAACAGTCAAATGCCCTGGGATTCTATTACATATGTATTTTTGGCTTTGTTATTTTAAAAATATACCCTGGAGATATTTTCCTATCAGTATATAGAAATCCTTCTCATTTGATTTTTAACAATTGCATCTTCCTCCAGTGTGTGTAGATGTACCATCTGGGTTGTTTCTAATCTTCTACTATTACAGATAACAATGCAACGAATAGCCTGAAACACACATTTTTATATTTTTGCCCACCGTATCTTTGGAATAGCTTTCTCGAAGTGCAATTGCTGAGTCAAAGGATAAATGCATAGGTCCTTTTGCAGATACTGCTAAACTACCTTCCTCAAAGATTATGCCACTTTGCATCCCCATAGCACTGCATGTTTGCCTATTTTCCCCAAAGTCTTCTCAACTGTATGTATTGCCTTGAGGTGTTTGCCAATCTTACAGGTGAGAAATGGAATCTCCCTACTCCTTAAAGAAATGTTGAAAAGCACAATATGTTCTGGTATAAACTTTACCTAGTTTCTTTGTGTGAGTGTATATACACACATACCTATACATATATATGCAGTTATATGAACTTGTACTTTCTCCCAAGCCAAGTGAAAAGCTATAGACACATGACACTTCACCCCTAAAAACTCCAATACCTAATCTCATAAGAACAAAAAAAAAAATTCCACAATTATTGAGGGCATGGTCATCATGAGTTATAAGGCTAGTAAAAGAAAACACTATATAAAGGAAAGCAAAATTTTTAAAGCACTTAAATTTTGCCTTAGAATTCTTCTGGATACAAGTGTTTGAATTCACCATTCAAACACAAAAATAAGAAAACATGACCCCAAAGTAGATAAGAAATCTATTAAACTGTCCAATTCCAAAACTTTGCTCATCACTGTCAGTATTTACTTATATGGCCATACCACCCTGAGGTAGTGGAATGTTCTTCATCACAATCAGATGAATACAAAGCATTAATTTAGGAAGGCAAACCCTCTAAATTTGCTATCTAATCCATGATAACCATGTATGCCCAGAGAAGGTAGTACATTTATTAATAAATAAGTAACAGAATTCAAAGAATCTGCTGCCAGATCAAGAACTGCTTATATCAATTTATGAGAAAACATTTATAAAATTAAGACATTAAGAATAAAATAATTAAGGCCATCACAATTTAACAATTTTAAGTCTTAATGCAATAGAAAACCTTTCAGATTTTTTAAATATCTACTTTTATTGCTTTAGAATATACTAATATTCATTTCTGACATATTTCTGATTTAAAATAAAATGTTAATTCATTTCAAAACTTCCACAGATTTTTAAATGAGGGAAGACACCAAGTAAAACACCACCTTATTTTGTAGCCAGGAAACTTTAAAATGCTTTTTTAAAAAAATCACCAAATTATTTTACCGGTTGGATTCAACTTACCCTTTCTGTCACAGAAAACTGATGGGTGTCTGCTGATATTTTATATGTATGTAGTTTTGTTGGCACAACTGTAATAAAATATTGGAACATCTGGTTGTCTAGAATACAAAAAAAACTTTTTATCAATTCAGTAGCAACAAAACTACTGCCAAATATATTCTTCTATTAAACACATTTAACCTGAAATTTAGCTGGATGTGGTGGCTCACACCTGTAATCTCAGCACTTTGGGAGGCTGACGAAGGAGGACTGCTTGAGTGTGGGAGTTCAAGAACAGTCTCGAACTTGAGTCTGGGAGTTCGCGACCAGTCTGGTCAAGAGAGCCAGACCCTGTCTCTACAAAAAATTTAAAAATTAACTGGGCATGGTGGTATGCACCTGTGGGTCCCAGCTGTTCAGGAGGCTGAGGCAGGAGGATCATATGAGCCCAGGAAGTCAAGGCTGCAGTGAGCCATGATTGTGCTACTGCACTCCAGCCTGGGCAACAGAGCAAGAACCTGTCTCAAACAAATAAAAAATAAAAACATTTAATCTGAAATGTAATGTTACATACAACTTAATGTCTAACAAAAAAAATTTTTAAAAGAACCAATGAAAGCAACATATTTATACTCGGTAAAACAAGTTCTCAGCAAGCATAAGATGGGCAACACAGATGTTTAAAAAAATGAATTGGTGACTTAGTTAAATATTCCTTAAAATCGTTAACATCCTTTTATCAATTATGGAAAAGTAGCATTTTTCTTTTTCCTTTTTTTTTTTTTGAGATAGGGTCTCACTCCATCGCCCAGGCTGGAGTGCAGTGGCGCAATCACGGCTCACTGCAGCCTTGACTTCCTGGGCTCCAGCAATCCTCCCGCCTCAGCCTCCTGCGTAGCTGGGACTACAATGCACGCCACCAAGCCCAACTAAATTTTTTTCATTTTTAGTAGAGACAGGGTTTTGCCATGTCGCCCAGGCTGGTCTCAAACTCCTGGGCTCAAGTGATCCTCCTGCCTCAGTCTCCCAAAGCGCTGGGATTATAGGTGTGAGCCACTGCACCCAGCCAGCATTTCTTTATAGTACAGAAACTAAGAATAAAATAAAATTATAAGAGAATAACCACCACAAGACATATTTTCAGTTTCTACTAATATCTTAAGATATACACTAAACCAAAATCAAATTAGCTAGCCTTTGAATAAATACAAGGAACTGATATTACAGTAGGAAGAAAACTAAAGAAACTACTCAATGATGGCCTGGGGTTACTGTATAATCAAAAGGATCATTTTTATACAGTCATTAGGCATCTCTAAGTTTGACACAAGTTTTAAATACCAGAATATTACCAATTACTAATTAACTGTAAACAATTACCCATTCACATAATATAAAACATGTTAATTCTCCGGGTCTAGAGAATTCTCTAGAAAAAGTATAATTAGATACACCTATCCATAGATTCAACTAGAGAAGCAAGTAAATGTTTTTATTATCCTTTTGTTAGAGATGAAGCAACTCAAGTACAGGGATGTTAAGAAACAGGCCAAAGTCCAAGTTATTAAGTGGCAGAGTGAGAACTTGAACCCAGGCGGTTCCACTCAAGGGGAATATGGTCTTAAATTTAAGCAGAAAAAATTCTCCCAGATTTAAATAGAAGCTTGCACCCCTTTGTACATAAAAGAGTAAAAGCTTTGACCTTCCTCTCCACTTCTCTCTCACTCATGGAAGGAATGATTCATCTGCAAAAAGTAATCATGTGTGGCTAAGCCACTCAATTAGATAGTATAGGCATTCTCTCTCTTAAACAGCTCTGTCTTCAAGACATACATAACCACCTTCTACCATTAGGAAAGTGAGCCATCCCTGCCATTTGAGAAGTCAGCAGGGTAGGAGGAG
This sequence comes from Homo sapiens, assembly GCF_000001405.40. NCBI lineage: Eukaryota > Metazoa > Chordata > Mammalia > Primates > Hominidae > Homo > Homo sapiens. The sequence goes on from NC_000012.12 coordinate 29,347,324, forward strand.
TATGGAGTTAGGTTGTCCAGTTTGTGGCAGCACATATAGGTTGTTTTATTTCTACCGGCTTCATTAATAATAAAGCTGCCTGCAATGCTCTCAAAAAGATAATCGCTTAGCTCACTTATTTACTTCACTCAAGTTTTTTTCAAATACCACAGCCTCTTCCATGCCCTTTCTCATATCATAGGCAATCTCCTTTATTTTGTTCAGAGCCGTTTGCCCTAACACTTATTACCTAAAGATCTAATTCCCTATAGGAACGTGCGCTCTATGAAGGGCAGGGACTATGTCTACCTTGTTTATCCAAATCTGTACTGCATTAAAGATGTTAATTGTTAAGTAACTCCTGCAATACTTCTGGAGAACATCAGGAAAGGGATAGCTACCTGACATAGCAGATATGTAATGTTGATTTTTTTCTTTTTGGAAAAAGAGGCTGAAAAAAACATATATTACGAAGGAGAAAAGTATACAAACTGCTTTAAAGCTTTGAAAAACCTGATGATACTCACCTAACGGCATTTCAGAATATGACTCTAAATACCTCTTAGTTTCTCTGAATTTATAAAGAAGTACACTTAAAAACAGCTTTTTGAAAATTGACCTGTTTATATTTAGAAGAGCTTCTGTGCAAAAATTTGTAGTTCATTTTAGCATCTTGAAACAAAGCATCGACCAGTATGTTTCCAAATGAGCATCTCTCAGGTAACATGCAATGCATTTCAGAGGAGAATTAACATATGCTTAGATTACAGATTAGATTATACTGACTAAAGCTTATAAATCTCAAAATGTTTCCATCCACACATTTCTAAATTTAGTACACTCAGGTTTCCTGAAGTGAAACATTCCCACATGAACATAAAATATTCATGAATGTAAATCAGTATTCTAAATTCTAAACATCTTTAATATATGATTATAACACTGCTAAAAAGTAAAGAATATGAATAAATCTGAATAGGATATTAATAAATCTACTTAAATTAATAAAAAACTAAATCCTTAATTACAATTTTACAAAGGATAGAATTCCTACTAGCTGAACAAGCTTCAGAAGTCCTTAAAATGTCCAATAGCTGGAACATGGTATATAATATGACTATTTTAGAAAGAGGCAATCAAAAACCTGCAGAAAACATGAGAACAGACTACTTTCTAAAAAACTAAGAAAATGATCTTTCCATATTTGGATAGACTTGATACTTTAAATGGAGCAGAAGGTTAAATAGAACATTTTAAAAAGGTTATCTGTGCTATAATGTACTCCTTCTATGTTAATAACCAAACCATTCCAGAATAACTAGGTTTCTGGTGTTTGTAAAATTCTCCAGAGAGGTTTCTGAAATGATATATATGCATTTTAAAACTTTGAACCTATATTATACAAAGAAGAAAATTCTTCTCATAATGTTGAACCTTTTTTTCATTCTTATTCTTTGGTGAATACAAAAAAGTGCAGTTATGCCCTGTTAATGTATTAACCTTTCATCTATTTCTACTGTTTAAATTGAACTCCTTCTGCCTTTTAATTCCTTCATCTTTTAACTTGAATTTCTTTATTCTGTTCTATGGCTCATTTTTGAATATTCAAATTTCATCCACTACTAGGACAAATTCTCTTCACATACATCTCAATCACCAACCACTTAAAGATTATCTTTACACAGTAGTTAGGAAGACATTAAAAATGTATTAATATTCAGGTTATAAGCAAAATTTTCTACATGTAAAATCCAACAATAATTATTAAATACTTACGATCTATAGCAATTTTTTCAGTTCCATCTAAAGGATTAATAATTGCTGGAACAAGCTCTCCAAAAGACAAATGATCTATTCTATGAGAAAAATTGTAAGCTAAAAGGCAAAAAATAAAAACAACTTAGCAGAGAAATTATATTATTCAAAATTACTTGGTACAGACTGGTTTACATCCTTATCTATTCTCAAATGAAAATGTTTAAAATCTTCAAGGATAATAATACAGTATTTTAAGCCACAATACTTTGAGAAAAATAAATGTAAATATATGCGAATTAAATGTATAAAATAAATTCTGACAAAATGCTATATCTCAAATTTAATAATTATATACAATTTAACGTCTAGAAAATATTAATATATAATGAAAGCCAAAAATATACATCTTTCCTTTTCCAAATCATCATATAGTTAACAGGACGGTATTGTTAGAATTGGAATGATGGCCATGTGGCCATATAATAAAACTGATCAGATATATTTTTAATACACTATTGCTAAATGTGACCAAACTAATTTTCTGTGGAATCCATTACTTGTTTTGTCCTCTAAAGCAGACTTTAAGAACTTAAGTCTTAAGACAATCATGATACCAAACTAACCTGAATACTTTATACATGTCTATACATCCATATTTCAATTTGCAAATTGAAATAAACTGCAAATATATTATTTTCTTTATCCCTAAAAATTAGCAGAAATGTGTACAAAGTTATAGAAAGTACACTAGGCTTTCCTCCCTAACCTCAGCAACTCAGAGCCATGACCAAATACAAATGCAGATTAAAGTAAATCAATTTAAAAATTTATTTTTTCCTTTGGATGAATATGTTTTCAAAACAGCTCACTTTCAACTACACTATATCTGCACTTTTAAAAATAATATTTTTTCAAGTACATCTTTACTGAAAAAAAGTCAGAATCTGCTTACATTCATGGTTGACAAGTGCTGCCAAATGTGCATGACCACGAGGATGTGGAATTGCCCTGAAAGGAGAAAAAACAATTATTAAAGTAGTACCATTTATATGTATAATTAATTAAAATCAGAAACTGGATCTTCCCTAAGTTATATAATTTTTCTTAGTACAAAATAACATAAGAATGCATTTGGCCTATTGACTGAGCAGACAAGTCTACTCATCTCAGCAATGCAATAAACTGCTGGAGGTTGGCAAACATTTTTGGCAAAGAGCCAGATAGTAAATACTTTAGGCTTTGTGGACCATGATGCAAAATCAAGTATATTATGTAGTTACATAATGAGAAAAAGCAAATTTTCACAAACTTTTCATTGATATAATAGTAATGAGTCCTTTTTTTTGTAATACAACTGTTTTGCAGGGAGATTACACTTTGTTTAATTGGGGTTTGGAATGTTCCCTATTTTCAAAACTGACCATAAATCTTTATCTGATGATGATGATCTGTAATGAAATTTTAAATATTTCATCTTTGAAAATATTAATCCACGAGTATGTGTTGAGCATATTCATTGCTTGAAAGACATTTATAGAATTCCAGTAGATTATTCTCCTAATACTTATTTACTTATAAACATGTTATTATATTGCAGATTAATAACTTCCAATCTAAATTAAAGCAAAATTTCAATTGTGCAGTGAAATGAATTTGAAACATGGAAATTTCCTTTGTATTTGCATCAATGTCTGAAGTTCTGGAACTATAGTTTGAAAGGTCAGAAAATATATTCAAGTATGAGAATGAGTCCAGATCCTTGCTTTAACTTTTGACAGCAAACGCTATCAAGGCATGAAAATTAAAAGAAACCACTCAAAATCACTAGTCATTGAAACAACTTTACTACAATATAAATTTCATAAATATTGGTTTTCCCTTATACTTTTAGGCTAAATTCATTAAACATTATTAAGTCTGCATGAAACTTAATTTCCAAAAATATTCATTGCTCAATAATTGTAACTGATGGAAGTTCTCTCACTCAGAAAAAATTCAATCTTGGCACTGAGCTCAAAAAATATACTGCTAAGCCATCAAACTGCTATGTAGTAGGGCAAGATGGAATATTCAGTTTTTATATCTGACAAAAAAAAACCATGGAAATGTCAATATTTAGGTTCAGGAGAGCAAATGAAGTTTACCACTGACACACCAGTTTAAAATACAAAATCAATTCAAATATTTTCTGCAAAGCAATAGGCATTAAACACTACATTTTCACAAGGTTTGAAATGCATTCAAGTAAGCCTTTTTCTGCTCCACACACCACCATCAGTTATAATACATTTGTAACATATACCAGATTCCACTTTAGGATGTACTGAATTTGTGTTCTCTCAACTTCTATAAAAATATTCTTGCCTATAGTTTTTGTTGAAAGCAGGCGATTCATAGATACTAATTCTGCAATCACTTCAAATTCAGCATTGATTCCTCAAATAAACAATAAGCAGTTCTAGTAACATCTGTCCACTTATCAAGAGTTTAGGAACTACTCAAAATCTCCTGGCTTGTTTTTTAACTGGCTATTAGATACTGCTCTCAATGTCCTCATCTACCAGAACACTCTTCTTGAAGAAGGCTAGTCATCTGATTGTCTAAAGCAAATTTATTTTTTCTGGAGTCATTTCTTTAGCTTTGGCAGTCAAACATTGCTTCACAGACTTATCAATACTTGGATGGCTTTCCTTACTTGCTAAACAATGAGGCACTTAAAGATTACAGCTTCATTTTCACGTTTTATGATAAAATTCTACAGTGTTTGGATATTCCATTTTTAATTTTCTAATTTTTCTGATCATTGCTTTTTTATAGGTTGGTAATATTGTGATGAATGCTCAATCTGGCACCATCAACAGATACTGTATTCTTTTTAGCACAATTAAATAGTGTCATTGCTTAATACGCAGGATGTTCTGCAGCCAAATTTGATCAAATAATCCATGGTACACTGTGCTTTAAAAATGCAACATTTGAAGTCCATATTTCTTTTTTTTAACATAGTAATACAATAAATAAATAAAATGTTGCAGGACAGGAATACACACAGCACTTTTAATGCTGTCAAATTATAACTGCATCACTACAATTCATAGTACACCAAAGTACAAAGTAATGAGAGAGTCATATATGGTCTCTGCCATAATTACTCAACTGTGGTACTGTAATACAAAAGCAGCCATATATAAACAAATGAGCATGGCTATATGCCAATAAAACTTTATTTTTGGACACGAATTTAAATTTCATATATTTCTCATGTATTATATTACTCCCCTTCTGATTTATTTTCAAATATTTAAAAATGTAAAAACCATGTCTGGGCAAGGTGGCTCACACCTGTAATCCTAGCACTTTGGGAGGCCAAGGTGAGTGGATCACCTGAGGTCAGGAGTTCGAGACCAGCCTGGCCAACATGGTGAAACCCTGTCTCTACTAAAAATACAAAAATTAGCCGGGCGTGGTGGTGGGCTACCTGTAATCCCAGCTACTCAGGAGGCTGAGGCAGGAGAATCACTTGAACCTGGGAGGCAGAGATTGCAGTGAGCCCAGATCACGTCACTGTACTCCAGCATGAGCAACAGAGCGAGACTCTGTCTCAAAAAAATAAACAAACAAATAAATAAACAAAATTTAAAAGCCCTTCTTAGCTCATGAACCATACAAAAACAGGTAGTAGGCTGGATTTGGTATATAAACTGTAGTTTGCCTACCACTGCAGTAAACCTTTGTTCTGTTATACACTGTTATCTTTCAAATTTAACCTGTTCTTTTAGCACCTTTACACTTCTACAAATAAGTACTATCCTTCCCTGTTCCTGGTTAAAAAAAATTAAAAAATCACCTTGAAGATCTCCTTTATCACAATCCTGCTTTACCCAGTTACTAATTCTAGCAATTAACTAAAAAACTGAAAATAGAAACTCTCCATAAAGGAGCCTTCTTTCTTTATAACCAATTAACTGTCTGTTACCATTGTCAAGTTTCAGAATATGCCCTAGTAGGTCTAAACATTGTTTAATTTGTTCTATGTGTTACCTAGCAAAACACCAGGCACTTTAAAAAAGGCAATACAATGATTAGGGAAATGTATTAACTGACATTCAACATAAAGTATACTAAAACCTTGCTCAATAAAGCATTTCCTGATGCACTGGAATGATTGGTAGTTTGGTCTCGTAAATTCTTCTGTGTTCACAGTCAAGTGTATTACCTCAAGCTTACTACTAAAAAGAAAGTCTACTGTCATAAATTATTACTAGCTCCAATCATATTGTCAGTCTAACAGTGTTCCTACTATTATTTTCAAACAAACAACAAAGTTTTTCTGAATAACCAAATTACAATACTACACGTTGAATATCCCTTATCCAAAATGCTTGGGATCAGAAGTTTCAAATTTTAGATTTTAGAATATGTACATTTTATTTGCCAGGGAGGCCTCCCTAACCTGAAATCTGAAACACTCTTAAGCATTTCCTTTGAGCATCGTGTTGACAATGCTCAAATTTGGAGTATTTTGAATGCTCCAAATTTGGAGCATTTTGAATTTCAGATTTTCAGATAAGGGATGCTCAACCTATACATTTTACTTCAATGATCTCTCTCACCACCCAGGATTTTACTCTGAGAGGAACAGAGAGCTGTTTTAAATAATATTTCCTTCTTTTTTTTTTTGTTAACAGGTGTATTCATTTTATGAAGTAACAGCATAAGTGAGCATCTTCTTCAAAAAATTAAATTTAAAAATCAAATTAAATCACCCTAGTACAGATGACTGTAGTTATCTGACACTTGTTAAAACTCTGCATAGGGAGGATGGATATTCAGAATTTACCTGTTTCTTTTCTGGGATATTTTCTACCCTATCAGACAAGAATCTAGCCTGAATGACTTTCAGTGGAGGAAAAGTTGTTCTGAAAATTGGTGGGGGGTGAAGAGAGGCATTTTGAGTTGTCAGAATTATTGGGAAGGGGTTGCTATTGGGATTTACTGGACAACAGCCACAGAAACAAGGCATCCTGCAATGAAATTGACAGTCTCACACAAAAAAGAATCATTCCAGGATTTGCCTGACTTTCAAATGTTCTAAGAGATACTCATGTACATGAAAAGCCTATTATAATAATCTGAGTCTAGAACTGAACCCCATTTAGCTATATAAAGTTGTAGTTTTAATATACACTAAATTTCCCAGAAAACTAAGGGAAGCTTATATTCTGTTTTGTTTAATATTACAAAGAGGTATTCCTATTTCTGAATATCATCTCATCAACGGAAATGTCACTCATGATATCTGAGTAGCCAATACATCTGTTTCAGTCTGCATTTGTAGCAATTATACACTTAAAAATTCTACATATAAGTGGCAAGCATCTGCCTACTTCATTATGTCTTCTAGTGTATTCACGCTCAAGCATATTGAAATACATATTGTGTTACAAATTATGTTCCTTTTATTACTCTTTTAAATTACAGTTGAGACTGACATTGTGTCTGAGAGGTAATATGAGACCTTCAAAAAGATCAATATTGAACTTGACAAATGTAACACTAAAAATTAGGAGTGGGTTTACAGGATATCCCTGAGATGACAAGATATGAACCAAATGCTTTTCTATTTGGCCTCTCTGATAGTGTGAGTTACCACCTGGGAAGGAAAGTGAAATTGTGAAAAGACCAAAAACAAATTTTAAAAAGGGACATAATATAGAGTCTGATTATAATATTTGTCAAAATTTCCCTCTTTGAGTTGGTTGTGGACTAGAATATTGTTTGTATCCAAAGGTGCAATAAAATCTGCTAAATTTCTTTAAGCTAAGATTTCAAGACATTCCAAGGTTCCCAGCAACAGGTTGGGTTGGAGATGGGTAATGGTAACAAAACAACAAAACATAAATTTCAAGAGATAATGAGGAAAAAAACAAATGTTTGATCTGAGTATTGTAAATACTGAAATACTTTTTCATAGAAATCTAATGTTATCTCTATATGTATTTTATAAACTTCCAGCCATGCTCTTTCCTGCTGTATGCCCTTCCCTCCTTTATATATTAAATTCCTCCTCTTCTCCTAGTGTTCAAAGGTCTTCCTCAATAAAGTCTCCACTGACTTGCAGCGTACATTTAATACCTTGTTAAATAGTCTCTTATCAGCCATACTTCTCCTTTACAGGCTCAATACAACTATAATTAAATAATTATTAATGTATTCACTGCTTAAGTGTGGATTTTCTTATAGAATGTCAGGCCTATTTAAAATAACAAGTCATATTTATACTGTATAGTTTGGAATAAAATAAATTAAAAAGGGCAAAAACCCTTTATTTTTTTCTTCACTGTTTATCCTTAGTTTCTAGCACAGTACTTTGCACATAGCAAGTACTCAAAAAATGTCTTGTACAATAAAGAATTGTTCAGTTCAGCACTCTATATGGAAAAGAAGGGAGGGAAAGATGGATGGATCTATTTATTCATTCAAAAATTTCACAAGTGTTTATGACAATTTCTGTGCTGAGTGCTGCTCATATTTTTCCTTAACTTTTACCTAATTTAACTTTATTCTAGACACTGCTAATTTCTAACTTTATCAAAACACTTATCTAGGATTAGTCAGGAATTACATTTTGATGAGGACCACCAAAACATTAAGACAAAAACCTAATAACATACCAAAAAAAATGAACAAATTAATGAAATGTCTAGGTAAGAGCTCTCTGGCCACTAAAACCTGGCAAGTAGAAGGCTGTAATTGATATTTACCTACAGTTCAGTTACTTTAATATACAAAACATGAGATGACTGTTTTACTTTTGTTTTGAAGTAGTTTTTAAAGTTAGTAGTCTTCTCTATCCTGAGACTGAAGCCCCAGACAACAATCTCAAGACATTAAAAATATATGTACACAATATTTTAAGCAAGCCTTTAGTAGTTAGCTGTATTTATTTGATTAGCAAAGTATTTACTTTTTTTTTTTTGGATACAGAGTTTTGCTCATCGCCCAGGCTGTAGTGCAGTGGCGCGATCTCGGCTCACTACAACCTCCGCCTCCTGGGTTCAAGCGATTCTCCTGCCTCAGCCCCTCGAGTATCTGGGATTACAGGTGCCTGCCACCACATCCAGCTAATTTTTTGTATTTTTAGTAGAGATGAGGTTTCAACATGTTGGGAAGGCAGTTCTTGAACTCCTGACCTCAGGTGATCCACCCGCCTCAGCCTCCCAAAGTGCTGGGATTACAGGCGCGAGCCATCGGCCAGAATTTACTTTTAACCAAGCTCCAACTTTGTCTAAAGTATTTTCAGTAAGTGAAAAGAACATACTTGCCCACTGTTATGTGAAAATTCCCTGCTACTTTATTGACATATAGATGGCCATGAATTCTGCATGCATTTGGAGACTGTGATGAATCATCTTCTCTGTTAAAATAAGATATATTATTTAAAGCACATTCAATACAGTTACCATTTTATGATGAGAAAAATGTGTATAGAAAAAAAAATCCCTAAAGATCATTTTTTAGGTAATATTCTAAATGTTAAAAATAGAATAGTTTCCTGAAGTCTAGACATTTATAAAAATTATACATCTATAAAATGGGAAAAAAGTATTTAATATCTATTACATTTACATAAATTTGAAATTCCATGGTTCTTCAACTCTAACCAGAGGACTAAGTCCAGTGACAGAAGACTAAAACAAAATAATTAGTCCAAAAAGACATATTTTTTTCATTTATTTCTGGTACTGTAGCAGGGAGAGGGAGGGAGGGCAGAAACATGATTGAGGTAAAGGAAAGGCATGCCACCTAAATTCAAAGAGACAGTGACATTTTCTTCCTAAGCAAATGTAAAATCTTGTATATTTTTATTATGTTTATGATTATAGCATTTCCAAATATCCACGAATCTTTTTTTTTTTTCTTTTGAGACACAGTCTTGCTCTGCTACCCAGGCTGGAGTGTAGTGGTGCAATCTTGGCTCACTGTAACCCCGCCTCCTGGGTTCAAGCTATTCTCCTGCCTCAGCCTCCCAAGTAGCTGGGACTGCATACATGCACCCACCACACCCAGCTAATTTTTTTGTATTTTTCGTAGGGACGGAGTTTCACCATGTTGGTCAGGCTGGTCTCGAACTCCTGACCTCAAATGATCCGCCCACCTTGGCCTCCAAAAGTGCTGGGATTACAGACGTGAGCCACTGCGCCCAGCCTCTAATCTTTAATTAAAATACAAAAACGGGAAATAAAACAAAATTTCTAACCAAAGCTTATATATCCTCAAAATAGTAAATGAAACTAATTTTTCTTAAAACTCAATATAATTTTATGTGGGGGTATACCACGCATAAAAAAGAAAATTAAATGCAAATAAATATTTGTGATAATTCTGATCAAAATCACAGGCTATAAATTTAAGAGCAAAAGGCGTCTTTATAGTACAGAATGATTCTATTTTCCCTTCCTAAGAAAAATAAGATTCAGAAAACTAAACCAACACTTTAGTTTTAACTATGTCAAAGTAAATTCATAATAAACAGTTGCACATTTAAAATACAGATCTCACCTTGGTGGAAGAGCTGTTGATGTACTTTTAAAAGCACTTTTAAATATCACATCTTGAAGTGAATGCTCTTCTTGTAGCCTACTCTGAATCAGCTGCAGCATCCTAAATAAGAAGCAATAATTTAGAACTACAGAAAGGTACACAAAGAGAGCTGACACTTATTCAAAAATGACAATGTTTAGCTGACTTAGTTAAATCATACATTTATTATTACAGGATTTCATATTCTAAAATAACATACCAAGTTTTCTTTGGTCATTTCCTTGAAAGCAAATGAGGCAGGGTGGCTAAGAGGTCTAATAGCTGAGCTCCATAAGCTTGTTTGATTCCATCAGTAATGGATGTGCCATCAGGACCACCAAAGTAGGGCTTCTACTCACTTAAGTATCTCAATTCATCTTTCATGCATACATGCACAATTAACAAAATTCTTATCTTTGTCAGACACTGAATGAAATATTGTAGATACAAAGAGTAGGACAAATAAGGGGCTACACAATGGACTTGATGGACTTGAAATGGTACATTACTCAGTATAAACTCATACCACAAGTAACTGATTTTCACTACAAAAATTTTTCTCTCTACAATACTTCTACCATTGAGCCATGTTAACTCCTACAATTTTCAGCAATAACTTTGTGTCATTAGATGTAGTCCTATTTTATCTCTTTTAATTCTATTTCTTCAAATAACTAATATTCCAAATCATCTGTAGTAAAGTTCAAACTTGGTAAGTACAAATGTTATACACAGTGGGAAGGGAAGAATAAACAGGCAGAGCACAGATAATTTTTACAGCAGTGAAATCATTCTGTATGGCAGTATGGTAGATACATGTCCTTATACATTTGTCAGAACTCACAGAATGTACGTTCAACACCAAGAACGAACTCTAATGTAAACTATGGTGATGATGATGTGTCAACATAGGTTCACTGATTATAACAACTATATCCAATCTGATGCAAGTTGTTGATAATGGGGGAACCTGTAGCGGGACGGGTATATAGGAACACTACTTTCTGCTCAATTTTGCTGTGAGCCTAACTACTCTAAAAGAAAAATACATACATGTAACTTGGAAAAAAGTTATAAACATAGGTACTCACAAAAAGAAAGCAAATGTGAATCTCATAATACTTTACCATCCCACCATAATGATAAAATAAGTACTTTCTAGATGTGCAAGCAGAAGATTAAAAACTTATGCATCATCTATCTAGAAAATTAGTATAACAGGCCTATGTAAAATAACAACTCATATTTATACTGTATAGTTTGGAATAAAATAAATCTGAAATCTCGACATAAAAAGTAGAAACCAGAAAGGTTCTGTCCAGGGTTTGAAATTTACAGTTAAAGAGAGATTAATTGTGATCCTAAATATTTTAGGAAAGTATTATAGAACACCAACTGAGAGAAAATTTAAATCTCTTAGAAAATTCTAGAAGTAAAGAACATTTTGGTATGCACATTAGTTAGGAAGATATCTACCTTGGGTATCTCTAGGCCATTCAAGAGCTATTTAATAATGTTTAGAATCAGAACGTGATAATCTAGGATGCTTCAAGAAGCCAGATCCCATCTTCAGATTCAGACATTTAAAGACATTGAATCTTTGACATTGAATCTTTGGATTCAATGCCAGCAGAAATGGAAATCTTCACTTTTTTTGTGTCTTGTAATTCGAGAGATCAACTTTTGAAGCATGGCAGTGATCAAGGGGTTTGATGACAACAAACTATACATACGTGTATATGTATGTATATATTATGTGTGTTTATGAAAAAAATTTCTGCCTTCACTGTGCCAATAAATATCCCAGCCTATATTCCACACATGAAAGTATGCAGAAAACTACTATGATGGCAAATTTATATCATCTTAATAGTAAAAATACAATCTCTTCTCCCACTTATTACTAGTTTCGAGCATTGAAAAAAATTCTAAATGAAAGGAGAAATCTCACTTTAATGTTTCTGGATCAAAGTAAAGTATTTCATCTGTGGATGGCTTTCTACTAAAAATTCTAAGAGCCCAGAGACAGCTAATATTCAGTGCTTTTGTTCACCCACATTCAAGTGGTGAAACTGGAAATTAAAAGAGAAAGACTCTTGGAATATACTTAGGGACTAGGGAAAAAAAAACGGGTAAAGAAAAATTTTTTGGAATAATCTTAAACTATATAAAGCCTTTATAAGTGCAAGACATAACCTAGAAAATAAAAAGCAATATATGGGGGTGGGAGACGGAAGCACTTATAACAAAGTACTATTTTCTTTAATTTAAAAATAATTCTTCTAAGAAAACTAACCAAGCAAAATAGGCACATAGGCAAACATTTTCACAAAAAAATACAAATAAGGAAAAAAACCTCACAACTGATTCATAAAGAAATGTTAATTAATAAAAGCATAGTACCAATTTTCACCCATCAAACTGGCATACATTTAAAAAAATTCTAGGCATTCCTGTTGTTGGTGAGGTTGTACAGAAACAAGTACTCTAATATAGCCTTTTGGAGTATAAGTGAAATAATAATTTGGGAGGATATAGGCACTATCAAAATGTTAAATATCCTCAGAGAAAGAAATTCTATTTCTAGAAATACACACACACACAAACATGTACAGAATTAGGTTCAAGAATGTTCATTGAGTATTGTTTTTAATATTAGAATTCTAAAAGCAATCTAAATATGCATCAATAAGGATCCAATTAAATAAACTACAATCTATCCATAAAATAGACCATTATATATATAGAAATGAATCCAAAATATCATGTTAGGTGGAAAAAAGCAACTTATTTCTGTATATATATTTCTGTATAGAAATAATTATATGTTTTTAAATATAACACATTATAAAAATATATAAATATGATATATTATAAAATATATAATGAATATATAAACTTTTATATATTATAAATATATAATATACTCATATATGATATACAAGAACTATATATACAATTATGTACTATATATTATATAGATTATATGTAAGAATTATCATAATTTTGTATATATATACACAGAAATATATATAATATACATATTATATACATACACAGAAAATGTCTGTCTAGAAGGCTACCCAAGAAACTTATCACTGGTTATTACTGCTAGTCAGTGGCATTAGTTTACAGAAAGAGAAGGGGGCTTTTACATTTACTTTGTATCTGGGTGCCCAATCTTTTGGCTTCCCTGGGCCACACTGTAAGAAGAATTATCTTGGGCCACACATAAAACACACTAACTATAGCTGATCAGTTAAAAAAAAAAGAAAATCACAAAAAAATCTCATAACTTTTTCAGAAAGTTTACAAATTTGTGGCCGGGCACAGTGGCTCATGCCTGTAATCCCAGCCCTCTGGGAGGCCAACATGGGCGGATCACTTCAGTTCAGGAGTTCAAGACCAGCCTAGTCAACATGGTGAAACCCTATCTCTACTAAAAATACAAAAAATTAGCTGGGCATGGTGGTGTGTGCCTGTAGTGTGCGCCAGCTACTCAGGAGGCTGAGGCAGGAGAATCGCTTCAACCTGTGAGGTGGGGGTTGCAGTGAGCCAAGATTGCGCCACTGTACTCCAGCCTGGCAACAGAGTGAGACTCTGTCTCAAAAAAAAAAGAAGTTTACAAATTTGTGTTAAGCTACATTCAAAGCCTTCCTGTGGGGCCGCAGTCTGGACAATCTTGCTTTATATCATTTCTATTCAAATTGAATTTTTAAAATGATCATATATTACTTTTGTAATCAAAAAATGTAAATAGTTGATACCATTTTAAATAAAAACTAAAACTTATGAATCAAAGTTTACCAGAGAAAAGATTATGCATGACTTTCTTAAGATCTGATGGTTTTTGAAATTGTAAGGATTATATTATATACCAAATTCTGCTAAGAATTCATCCAAAGAAATCCCTAGAGAAATGTGTTAATCTATAAATAGTTTACAATAGACAAAATATGACTTAGATTTCTATGGACCACAATACTTTGTTCTCTTATTACCTCTGCCACTCTTTCTGCTGTGGTGAAAGATCAAATACTGTCTGAAATGAAAGAAAACATAATCACTAGCATTGTCAAATTCTCTTGGCTTTTACATCATAATTTAAAATTTTTTCTTTGAGCAGGAAACATAAACTTAAGTGTTGTTAAAAACAAGTATTCATGGTTTACATTCAACTTCTATAAGTCAAATTAAAATTTTAATGTGCTATCTTTACTGAAAAATAGCATAAAGAAATTTTCTAATCACAAATACTTTCCTGTTACAGTTATCGACATTTACAGGAATATATGCAAGTTGACAATTTATCATATGTACAAAATGGTATCCTAGGGCTTAAAATCATTTAAATGATGCTAGCATGAAATTCACAAGTATTAGGGTACAAAAATACAGAGTTATATTCAAGCATCCAAAGCCCAAATTCTTGCTGGTAAAATACAATAATAAAATCAACAATTTTTGAAATGAGTTTAAAAATAGCACAGTTAATTCCCAAATGCATTGATCAACAAAGAACTACTTAAGAAATTTTATCTAGGCATGATCAAAGTTAGACTTGGCTACTTGCAGAGTCAGAGAAAAATATGCAAACTTCTCATAGTAGCTATATCCACAATTTAATTTTGCAACAATAATCCACTTTTCGGCCGGGCATGGTGGCTCAAGCCTGTAATTCTAACACTTTGGGAGGCCAAGACAGGCGGATTGCCTGAGCTCAGGAGTTCAAGACCAGCCTGGGCAACATGGTGAAACCCTGCCTCTACTAAAATACAAAAAAACCCTGTCTGTACTAAAATACAAAAAATCAGCTGGTGGTAGGCACCTGTAATCCCAGCTACTCAAGAGGCTGAAGCACGAGAATTGCTTGAACCCGGGAGGTGGAAGTTGCAGTGAGCAGAGATCTTGCCAATGCACTCAGTCTGGGACACAAAGTGAAACTCCGTTTCAAAAAAAAAAAAAATCCACTTTACTAGTCCTAGTTCACAGCTCTACTTCTGTGATTTGATTTTTTAATTTAATTACATCAATCTGGAACATGCCTCTCCGGTAACTGTGAGAGCCTCATGTCTAAGTTTTATATAACTATATGCTTCAAGTTAAATTGTCCCAATCTTTCTGATGTTTCCTTTGATTACACCTCCTGATGAATTTGCCTAAAGCATGCTACCAAACCTTTTTCACATTATAGCATATAAGGAAAATGCTAACATCTATAAAACACAACACAGCAAACCAATAAGGCTGTTGGCAGTTACTCTCCAGCTAATGTATAAATAAAATGATTGACAGTGGCGACTATATGATTTTTCCTTTGAATTCCAAAACCTTCTTTGTACAATGTTTACTTAGCACAAAGGTATAAAGAAACTACTTTGTAGGCCCTATGCTAATTCATTATCTCACTTAACCTTCCTAACCACCTCGTGAATTTTTTACTCCTCTTCCCTTTTTGCACATGAGGAAGCAGGAGCTCAAAAAGTTACAAACTTTCCAAAATCACAGATAGTAAGTAACAACCAATACACAAATTCAGCTCTGTCAGATTTCTTACTTTCCCACCTTTTAAAAATTCTTCTTGTCTTTAAATAGTAACTAAATGCAATAGAAATAGCAGAATAGTAACTATCATAGCATATTGTATGATCATGGCTTGTAAACTAGTAAAGTTATCAGGGCTAGGTTTTTAATATTCAGAGTGCATATTAAAATAATGAGTGAAAAATTTTTAAGTTAAAATGATATTTTTAATAATTTTATATTAAAAATAATTCTTAAACACTTTTATATAAATTAGCACAAAGGAATGAATAGTTTCCTAAAAGCATGGTTAAACACTTTAAATATTACTAATGAAAAGTATACAATTAAATATTTTGAAGTTCTTAACTTTCTCATTAAGATACAATTTTTAATTATAACAATTTAAATAAAATTTTCCTGCTCCATAAACTACTAGAAGAGATGGCAGAAACTGTTTACAATGAAAACAGTCAACAATACTGTCCCAACTGCTTAATTCTAACATATCACTATTGCCTAAAATCTGCAAAGCATTTTGCAATGCATTTTGAGAACTACAAAGATGAAAGAATGAAATTAATGATTCTCAAGAGCTTAAAATCCAGCTAGAAAGATAAGAGATGTAGGGGGAAAAAAAAAGATAGCATCAGGCATCTCATAAATGTGAAAAAAAAAAAAAAAGAGAGTGACCACAACAGTTAGAATATGGACAGAATGCTAGAGAAACAGTGTAAGTGACTTTTAGAGGATACATTCAAGATTATAATACATAAACAATAATTCTCAGCATCCAAAAGAAACATAAAAATGAGGATGCAACCTTTATTATCATCTTAAATCATTTTAAATTAATATTCATATGCTGTAAACTTTCATGAATTTATACAAGACAACATACAAATGAAACCAAATTGAGAAAGAGCACAAAATAAGTTTATTTCATAGGATAGAAAAACCCATGTGAAAGGGATTTTCCCAGTTCAGAGCAACAGAGAAAATGGGTAATAAAAGATAATAGCAGAAGATACAGGCAGTCATGCTAGAATCCATAAAACATACCTACACATTCTTGCTGTAAAATAAATCTCAAAAAGTCCCCCCTCAACAGAATGGAGAATCCAGAAATCAAGCTGCACACCTGCAGCCATTTGATCTTTGACAAAATCAACAAAAATAAGCAATGGAGAAAGGACTCTCTATTCAATAAATGGTGCTGGGAGAGCTGGCTAGCCATATGCAGAAGAATGAAACTGGGCCCAGATCTTTCACCATATACAAAAATTAACTCAAGATGGGTAAAGATTTAAATGACCTTAAACTATAAGAATCCTAGAAGAAAACCTAGAAAACACCATTGTGGGCATCACCCTTGGGAAAGAATTTATGACTATGTCCCCACAAGCAATTGCAACAAAAACAAAAATTGAAAAGTGGGAGCTAATTAAACTAAAGAGCTTCTGCACAGAAAACAAAAACAAAAACTACCAACAGAGTAAACAGACAACCTACAGAATGTGAGAAAATATTCACAAACTATGCATCTGATAAAGGTCTAATATCCAGAATCTATAAGGAATTTAAATAAATTGAACATGTAAAAAACAACCCCATTAAAAAGTCGGCAAAGGACATGAACACACACTTCTCAAAAGATATACAAGTGGTCAACAAACATGAAGAAATGCTCCATATCAGTAATCATAAGAGAAATGCAAATCAAAACCACAATGAGAGGCCATCTCACACCAGTCAGAATGGCTATTACTAAAAAGTCAAAAAGAAAAAAAAAAAAAAGATGTTGGAGAGGCTGTGGAGAAAAGGGAACACTTATATGCTGCTGGTAAAAATGGAAATTAGTTCAGCCACTGTGGAAAGCAATTTGGAGAGTTCTCAAAGAACGTAGAGTATTATTTAACCCAGCAATCCCATTACTGGGTATATACTCAAAGGAAAATAAATCATTGTATGCAAAAGACACATGCACTCTGATCTTTATTGCAGCACCATTCACAATAGCGAATACATGGAATCAACCTAGGTACTCATCAGTGGTACATGGGATAAACAAAATGTGGTATACATGCACCAGGGAATACTATGCAGCCATAAAAAAGAAGAAACTTTTATCCTTTGCAGCAACATGAATGCAGCTGGAGGCAATAATCCTAAGCAAATAAATGGCAGGACAGAAAACCATACACCATATGTTCTCATTTATAAGTGGGAGCTAAACGCTGGGTACTCATAGACATAAAAATGGCAACAACAGAAAGTGGGGACTATTAGAGAGGGGAGGGAGGGAGAAGGAAAAGGATTGAAAAACTACTAGTTATTATGCCCAGTACCTGGGTGATGGGATCAATCATAACCTGAAAACCTCAGCATTACACAATATACTCAGGTAACAAACCTTCACATGTACTCCATGAATCTAAACTAAAAGTTGAAAAAACAGTCCCTCTTCAAAATGATAAACAAAAATAAGGTAAGAATGGCAGAAAATTAAAAAAAAAAAAACAAAGTTAAAGTTAAATAAGTATTCTTAAGATAGTATAAAATGTAATACAAATATTAAAATATCTAATAATAATCACTTAGATCAAAATGAGCAGATAATAGTGTAATATGCTGTCATATATGAATCTGTAAGGTAACTAAGCTCATAAAAAATTACTTCAAAATCGATTTTTTGAGTGGGAAAACGAGTCAGAAAGTAGAGTCAGAGTGGCAATAACAAAAGTTACTGTTTCTGTAGAAATTTCTATTTAAAATGTATATGTCAAAAGGCACATATCAAGTTTGTAGCTGTAAACTAAAATTAATTCAATAATCAAAACTGGCCAAGGACTTCATTTTCTTTCCTTTAACCCCATACATTCAGTCACTTCTACTCCCCCTCCTTCACCTTCACTCTTCACTTTGCAAATTTGCTAAAAGAAAGGTTCACAATTGTCAATGATTAAGAAAAGGAACTCAAGAACGCATGCGTAAATTTAAGTACCACCATGCCAACAGAGCAACTTTTAGCTGCTGAGGGCCTCATGCTTATTCTCGAAAGCTTATTTAGGGCTAGTTCTGATCATGACTCGTTATCACTGTATCTGCCACTGAAATGTGACAATATTTTCTGATAAATCTACGATGTTATATTCAACTTGTGCTCTGAAGATAATAAGAAAATGTCAGCATTTCACACGCTGAGGGAAATAGAGGCGTAAAGGAGGAAGGAAGTAGTAATGCCCATGACATTTCTCCTCTTAGAAAGATACTACTTTATTCTTGATTGTAAGAGAAATACAGTTCAAATATTTTAAATACTTAAATTTGGTCATAGTAGAATACAAACAGGACATAAAAGTTTCCAAATTACTAGAGAAAAAGAAAAAAACTCATCACTATAACTAGAAGAAAAGTGAAAAGGAAACTACTGGAAAGTAATAACAAAAATATTAAAAAAGGTTATAAAACAGACTTTAGACACATCCAAAATACATCCAAAATGTTAATAATGGTCACCTCAAGATTTTGGTATATAATATAACTTTTCTGTTTTTCCCCCTAAATTTATTACAAAGAATATGGATTACTTTTGAAATAAAAGAATTATACTAAAAACTATTTCAGACAAAACTAAAAGCAACTATCTGTCTTCAAGCGTACGATTCCTCAACCCGTGTATTTCAAAAAACCATGTGAATCAAACTTACTGGTTCATAAACTAAACCATCTGCAGATGCAACCATTGTTTCTGCTAAATCCAATACATCCGCTCCAACATCTGCATAGAAAAAAGAATTAGAAGTTTTACATTCTATGCTTGGAGGCAAACCATCCCCAATATAAACAAATTAAGCCAACTAACAGAAAACTCACCAAGCAAAAAAAAAAAAAAAACCTCACCAACTATGTAGAATAATTTCCGATATATTTGTCCAAAAGCTAAAACAGTAGCCTTATATAGCTTAGGTGGAGATTATTCCAAAATGTAATAATGTTTTTTCTTACCCAGTAAAAAACTTCTTACCCAATAAAAAAAAAAAGATAATTCAAGATCTCATTTAAAAAGGATAAGCGTCACTGAATTGAAGAGCTTTGCAAATATCGGCAAGAACCTAATCACAAGTACTAAGTGGCTGCTGAACAAAATATTAATTCCAAGAAATATTTTTAGAGATTAAAAGAAATCGTAAAGCTATGCTACAAATCAACAAATAGGAAATTTTATTCGGAAAAGGCTAAAATTTAACAGTATTTAAACATCCAAAATAAGGCAGAATATCATATATTCAGAATTACCACTAACTACAAGTTTAAAAATAAAGTATTTTTTTATCTCTTAAAACCACCAACATAAGGAAAAACATATTGAAAAGAAAGAGATTCAAGGTCGTTCTGAGATAGAATCTCACAGAAAATAACCTCTAATTAATTGGGTAAAATTATTTCATACTTTTAAAAATGTAAAAATTTTCTCTGAGTTCTTGGTCTGTAATTTTTAAGCAGTAACTCATAAAATATTTTTCATGCAAAAGCATTCTTATTTTTGAAAACAGTATTGATTCAAACATTCACTATCTGGCATATTAGCATTTTTCCACTTCTATTAGTATAACCAAGTGAGTCCAGTGACGAAAAAAGAAAAGGGTAACCTATCACCATTAACTTAAAATAACTGGATCTGTATTTTTAAACGCAAGAGTA
Source organism: Homo sapiens (assembly GCF_000001405.40). NCBI lineage: Eukaryota > Metazoa > Chordata > Mammalia > Primates > Hominidae > Homo > Homo sapiens. The sequence goes on from NC_000012.12 coordinate 29,367,871, forward strand.
AACATAAAAGGTGGTAAACTGAAACAGTGACACAAGGATATGCTTGTGAAACATGGGTATAAAAGCTAGTACTCCAAACAAAAAAAGACAGAAAGGATGTACATAAACTAGAATGCTGATTCACAAACATTTCCTCCAACTTTCTTTTAATTATACTAATGTGAAAGTTTTATCTCTTCTCTTTATGGAAAAGAAACTTGAAGAATATAAGCTGAGGAGTAAAACAATTTGTATTATTAAATAATACCACAGTAAAACTTTAAAATATTATAAAGGAAAAATAAAGTACAACCAGTGATTTTTATTTTTGCTTGGCAATTGTTTGAACCATAACCTACATGTGGATTCAGCAAGTTGAAGGTGTACTTACATTGACACTTCATGGCAACAGTAATATCTATATTAATTCTTAATTTGCTGAAAGACAAAATATTAAACATTAGTACCTACCAATTAATTAGCAAAACATGAGAAATATAAATCAACTGACCTATTAAAAACTTGGATTTCAAGCAGAATAAATTATGTCGATTAGAACTTGAATTGCATTTCTCATGGCCAAAACAAAGGCTCTTTAAATTACAAGTTCTATTTTGCCCTTATTCCAAAAGCCTTTCTGACTTCACAGGTTTTTGAACACAGTATCCTTTAATAATGGCAACTCTATAATCAATAACTCTAAGCAACTCAGAAAAAGTCTTAACCTCTTAATCTCTATTTACATAAACTTTTGATAGAATGTTCTTTTAAGAATGTAAAACTCTCAAAATCAAGAATTAGGAATTGTCTTTCTTCTCTGTTTATCAAACACCATATATTAAGCATGATGCTAGATGTTCTACAAATATTATCTCCTTTATTCTATATCATGGAGCTATAAATGGATGGCTTCACAGATTTTCAAGTAAACCACTGGTGTTCACGGTAGTGTAAATACCTGGCTTAAGATCACATCACCATTAAAGTGGCATACTGGAAACTAGGTCTATGTAACTCAGGATAAATGCAACCAAACTACCAAAAGTAAATCACCTGATGCTTAAAATTTTTCATGGCCTTTCATTTTCAAATGATTAGATCAAAGCAATTTTCGAATACCAGAATGAAGCATTGCGAATAATAGACTGGCTATGATCAAATTCAGTCCTGTGCTTTCTATGATAACTTTTTTCTGTGTAATAATTTTCATCTGATTTAAAATAGGAATTACAGATTTTTAGACCTTCATGAAGTCTTAAAGTCATCTAGAGTTCAAACTGTGTTCCAAATAACCCAGGAGTTTAGGCTCAGGAGATAGGAACCAGGAGTAGGCCAAGTAGACAAACTTCTGCATATCCTCACCATGCTTATGTGGCGAACTATGTAATACATAAGACTTCATTTGGAAAAAAATGAAGTATTGCATTGGTGCTGAAAACAACAACAAATTCTTTGAAAACCAATACTATCCTGAATAGTACATTAGAGATGAAGAAACTGAAGTCCAAAAGAAGTCAGTGGTGTGACCTGCCCAAGGTTACACAGCAATTTACAAATGTTGACTAATTTAATTCTCATAAACCTCTTGAGGAAGATACTATAATTGCTGTCTGTACTTTACAAAAAAGGAAACTGAAGCATATACAGGTGCAGATTTAGTAAATTCCCTAAAATTATGTAAATGGCAAACCTGGATTGTAATTGAAAACTAAATGTGTCTTCCTATTTGGTGCAATCTTAATATTATAAACCTATTATCTTCATTCCATTGAAGAAATCCAAATAATACAAACGAATAGATGTAAAGTGTATAATTAAGGTACTATATTTTCAAAAGTTTAAAAGTAATCTTATTTACATAAAGATTTAGCTTAGGTATAATTTATAGACATCAAGTCATAAGGGTATACAATGTATCCTTAGACAACTTATTTTCCAGCTCACACAGATCAGTGAGGTATTTCAACCAGTTTCAAATATTAAACAATTTCCACAATATACATATCTAAGGAAAAATATTCCCCTAACTTTTTGAAACAAAGCATGCTAAATCAAAGAACCTCAGTTTTAGAATTCAACCACTATTTAAATGATTCTAAAAGGTTTCACTTAATGCATGCAATTAATGAGAATTTTTCAGGACTATTTCTTCAGAACTAAAACAAACCAAATCTAGAAGGTTAGACTTTTTCTTTTTTAAAAGGTATGCTCTTTTTAAAACAATTTGAATCTAAAGGTATTCCAAGAAGAAAAAAAATGATTACCTAGAAAAATCCTTGTCTACTTCGTATTCATACTTCATCCATGTATCTTGATATACTGAGAATTCCATTATGGTTAATAAAGCCATAGTTGTAAATGCTATTAGAGAAACTGGGAAATCCAACAACAAAAGAAAAACAGAATTAAAACAATAAAAAAAGCAAAGAATAGGAAACTAATTTAAGTGAGATTAAATTTTCAAAAGAAAAAGCCTAATAATGTAACTTCCATTTGAATGCATACTATAGAAGGTTTTTATTCAAAATGTTTATTATGCATTTTTTCTAATACAGCTCAAAAGTTAAGGTTTAATATATACAAATATGAACATAAACACTTGCATTACTAAGAAAGCATTTTATTTCTCCAATTTTAAGGGCATCTCTCACTAAGTAGAGTTGACAAAATTTGTATTTCTTATATAAAACAGTGTCACAGATAGGATAAATGATGAAAGTAAGCATGCCTTATAGCACAAATTTGAAAACAGTTGCTTCATTATTAAAAATGCATCCATGTCTATAAATATAATTTGTATATAAATGTATATAAATTGGGCTATAAGCCCAATTTAAAACAAACAAAAAGGTAGCCTAATTTCTTAGATCCTGAGAAACCACAATAATCTGTGTGCCAGAAACTCAAATAACATCTCTAAATAGCTAACAAAACTCTCCTCTACTTGGCAATCTCCTAAATATATCACCTCATTCACAGAACTGAGTAAAAGATCTGACAAAAAGAAAATCTATTATATACTAAAGCAAAATACTTAAAATAGATTTTGCAAGAACTTGCACTATTTTCATTAACAAAACTTAATCACAAGTGGATCAGAAATAGTAAGCAACTTATTACCCATTTTACCAAATAAAATGTCAACCTTAAGTGAAATACATTATTTTACTACCTTTTCATAGGGAAAGAAATTATACTGAATATTGTTATAGTCACACATTTTTCTTATATATTTCATTATTTATTTTACTTAACTGATACTTTTATCTGTACCAGGCACTGGGTCTAAGCATTTTATGAAAATATTAATAGTATAGTAACCCCTAGGAGGTAAATACTAGTATGATCCCTATTTCATGGAAGAAACTAAGACAGATAGATTTGAATAACTTCCTCAAGGTCACATATTTAGGAAAGGGCAGCAAAGCAGAAACATTGGTTTAATGTATTAATGTTTTAATAAACACTGCCAAAGGCACAGATGGCACTGTGTTGGAGGCTATAGAGAATATTAATAAGAATTACAGCCAACAGAGTGGCATGAAGACAGACAAGTTACGAAGTTACGGCAGAATTCATTGATAAATTCTTCCTCATGGCTACATTTCTATATGTTGTTGACTGGATCACGCAGAAGTTGTACTTACTACAGAACTTTTAATGTTAACTGATACTCACCTGTACCTCCACTGGCTGAAGTCTCTACATAGCTCTCAGGAACCTTCGGAAAGGCATCCAACTCTTTTACCAAACTTAAAGTTTTTTTCCGATTCAGTCGCCTCATCTTCAGGAAAACCTTCCTCTTCCTTCATATAGTCATGCTAAGGAATAAATAAATTAATGAATAAATGAATCCTTTAAAGAGATAAAAAGGTTTCTTTAAATTTAGGATAACTGACAAATGTCCTTAAAACAACTTAACATTCTCATCCCCCCTTAAAAATAAAAAGCATAGTATTTATCCACACTACTCCTTTCCCCATTCATGCCCTGACAAAAACTACTAATGGAAGGCAATTTAAATACAAAAACACATTATATAGCAAGAAAAAAAGTGAAAAGTAATTCAATCACATGAATAATGTCTAAATATAAAAATTAAGATAATGTTTTCTATTAAATTGAAAACTATATAAAAATAATACACTTCCAATAATGAATGACAGTGAAGTAAAATGGCCTGCTCATACATTACTAACAAGAATATAGGCCAGGCACGGTCGCTCACGCCTGTAATCCCAGTACTTTGGGAGGCCGAGGCGGGTGGATCATCTGAGGTCAGGAGTTTGAGAAACCAGTCTGGCCAACATGGGAAAACCCCATCTCTACTAAAAATACAAAAAATTAGCCAGGTGTGGTGGCACGTGCCTGTAGTCCCAGCTACCTAGGAGGCTGAGGCAGGAGAATCGCTTGAACCTGGAAGGTGGAGGTTGCAGTAAGCCAAGATCATGCCACTGCACTGCAGTCTGGGTTACAGAGTGAGACTCCATCTCAAATAAAAATAAAAATAATAATAATAATAATAATGGAAGAAGAAGAAGAAGAAAGAAGGTGGGAGAAAGCGGGAAAAGGCGGGAGAAGGGAGAAGAAGAAAAAGAAGAAGAAGACATTTACCACACCACTCCTCTTCTAAGTAAATGCCCATTGAGGAATTTATCCTATGACAATAACCTGCGGTTTTAACCAAAATTTGATTACGAGGATATTTCTCACAGTGTTATTTTTAAATACTGAAGACAGAAACAAATCCATTGTATCCAATGTACAAATTAAGGTGAAGCATCTTTACGTAGCCATTGAAAATCTTTTTTTTTTCTTTTTTTGAGACAGGATCTTGCTCTGTCACCCAGGCTGGAGTGCAGTGGCGTGATCTCAACTCACCACAATCTCAGCCTCCCTGGCTCAAGCGATCCTCCTCGCCTCAGCCTCCCAAATAGCTAGGACTATAGGCATGCACCTCCACCCCCAGCTAATTTTTGTATTTTTTGTAGAGACGGAGTTTCACCTTGTTGCCCAGGCTGGGTCTCAAACTCCTGGGCTGAAGCCTTCCACCCACCTCGGCCTCTCAAAAAAAGTGCTGGGATTATAGATGTGAACCACCACACCTGGCCTGAAACTCTTTTATTTAAAAAAAAAAAAATTAATGACATAAGAAAATAGTCATGATACTGATACAATAAGAAAAGACTAGAAGGTCACATGGATCCTAACTTTATGGGAGACAGGAAAAGATACATAAGAAACAAAACTGAACATCTACACACAAAAATGTTAAAAGTAGATCATGAATTTTAATTGCCTTTACATATAACTTCAGATTTCCCATGTTATCTATTTTTATAATCAAAACATTTAAAAATTGGCTGCTTGCTATTTATCAGCACGTCATCTACATCTAAAAATGTTATAAAGCCAATCAAATAACTGAATTCTTAGATATTTACATAATTTTTATGACTGATTTATAAATAATACTATAGGTAATATTATAAAGAATTCCCAGTAATCAAGGCTTTATTAATAAAATCAACACATAATAGAATAAATCGTACAGTTGCAGAAGTCACTATAAGAGAAATAATGTCTCTGGAAGAGAGCAGACAGACTTTGGGTCTGAAATCTAATGGGGAGGATTAATATACAAAGAATAGGCAAAAGAAAGAAGATTCATAAAGAAAAAGAAGGGCCAGAGAATGAAAAACTGGCAGTAAACATGAATACTGTCTAAAGGAAAGAAGCTCTGACCAGGAGCACTATTTATCAGTCCAGCAGGGAGCTACTACTCTACAGTAGAGTTGAAAGCATTAATACATTGATTTCCTCTGCCATTAAAATCAACCAACTAAACTTCCCTTGCTGGTTCCACACTCACAAAGCAGCCTTCGAATTATGATTTTTTTCCCATGCACTTAGTATTCGAAAGAAAAAAATAGATGTCATAGACAAAACAGATGACAGTTTTCTGACCCCCACGTCAGTTATAAAACTGGTATTCCCATCGATAAATTAAGCTTCTGAATGTTTGTTATGTATATGCCATGCCCGCTAAACTTGTTTAGCTCTGATAATCAAATTTATTTTCTGTACCTTTTTAGTAGTAACTGCACAAAAACTGACCCTTTTTCAATCTTTCAATTTCTACTCTTTCTGATTTGAGTAAAATATTAAATATCTGTATGTCTCTTCTCTTTAAAACAGAACTCTCCCTTAAACTCAAGTCCAACTCCAACAATACATCTCTCGCAGCACACCTACAGCCAACTTAAAAGAATGAGTTGTCCCCATTCATCTACTGTGACTACTTCCTCACCCAACTCTCACCTCTTAACTAAATTTGCTCTGAGCAAGGTAATTAACTTCCTTAGTACTGACAGACACTCCTCAGTCCTTATCTAACTGCACCTCTGAGAAAACACACTGCTTATCACTTCTTTTTCTTCTCGAAACATTCTCTTACCTTGACTTAAGTGATATCACATCCCCAATTTTCATTCTACCTGGAAAACCCTCTTTGGCTTACTGTGCAAATTCATCTTTCTCTCAAGATTCTGCACTAGGTCTCCCCCTTAACCTCCACACCTTCCCCAAATGATCGCCCACTCCTTCCATTTCAATCTGCATGTTGATTTATCCCAAATCTTGATTCTCTGCCCAGATCTCTCTGCAGATATGTATAACCCCTTGCCTTCTGTTACCTTTTCATTTGGACATTCCAAACACAATTCAGACTCAACAAGTCCAAAAATGAATACTTCACCCTGTAAAAATTGTTCCTCCTGTATCTATCTTAATGATAACACCATAAGCCCAACTACACAAGCCAGAAACATGGGTTATATCTTTAGACTTAAGCTATTTCTAAATTTCTCTTAAATCTGCCTGTCTTCTCTTCTTCAGGCCTACTGAGAAATTCCTTATGTCCAAGTATGTTCCTAGTCCCAACTGCCACAATCTATCACTACATTGCTTCAACAACCTCTAATCTTCAACCTTCCAATTCTCTCTCTATACTGTAATAATAAATTATCTTTTTAATACATAAATCTGATATTTCTCTTCAAATCTTTGTAAAACTTCCCTTCCCACTACACTTAAGAGCTTGGATTCTATCCTAACATGTTTTACAAAGCCCTTCAAAAACCAGGTCCTGCTAACCTCTCTTCAAACCCAATCACTCACAGTCTACGTTCCAACCATATTAAATCACTTTCAATTCCTTAAATATCCT